>NC_000023.11:81553451-81856481 GCF_000001405.40 Homo sapiens
ATATTCTTATAAATGACTCCTGTTATTTAAATTTTCAAATATTAATTGTTTATAGAAATATAATAAATGTTTATAATACTATTTGTTTCCTGTGACTTTGCTAAACTCTAAACTCAAATATTAAATTTAGTAACTTTTTGCGGATTGCTTAATATTTTTCTAAAGACATGGTTATGTTTGTGAATAAGCTTGACCACAAATATATTATTTTCTTGAATCATTGTATAATAGTCTCCAAAAATTCCAGTGACATGTTAAATAGGAATGAAAAGAGTAGACAACCTTGTCTTATCCAGATCATCAGTAAAATAGTCTTTCATCATTAAGTATCAAGATAGCTTTGTGTTTTATATGAATGGTCTTTATCAGATTGAGTAAATCCCCTTGTATGCCTAGTTTGCTTGGTGTGAATCATAAATGGGTATGAATTTAATCTAACACTTTTCCTTCATCTCTGATGTTCATGTGCATTTATTTTGCAGTTAACATAATGAATTATAGTTTATTGATAAGAAATTGACATAAAAATTAGACATATCTGTTTTCTCCAAGCCCTACTGAAGTTTGGTTGACAAAAAATATATATATTTAAAGTTTACAATATGATGCACACATTGTATATGATTTTCACCATAAAGTTAACACATTCATCACTACTCATAGTTACCATGTTTTAGTGGTGAGAACACTTGGAATCTAGTCTCTTATCAGATTTTAAGTACACAATGTATTGTTATTAATATAGTCACCAGGCTGTATATTAGGTCTCCAGAGCTTATTTATCTTATAACTGAAAGTTTGTGCCCTTTGATAAATATTACCCCTTTTCTCCCACCTCCCAGACCCTGGTAACCACCATTATACTCTGTTACTACGAGTTAAACTTTGCTTTAGGTTTCACAATAAGTGAGATAATTTAGTATTTGTCTTTCTATATCTGGTTTGTGTGTGTGTGTGTCTGTATGTGCATCTGTCACATTTTCTTTGTCCATTCATCTGTTGATGAACACTTAGGATATTTTCATATTGTGGTTATTGGGAATAATGCTACAATGAATAGCAAAGTGAAATTATCTCTTAAAGAAAGTGATTTTTTTTATATATACATGAAAGTGGGATGGCTGGATCATATGAAGTTCTATTTTCCATTTTCTGAAAAGCCCCCCATACTGTTTTTCATAATGACTGATTTACATTCCCAACAACGGTGCCCAGAGTTCCCTTTACTCCATATTTTCTCAAACACTTGTTATATTTTGACTTTTGGGTAATATATTTCCTACCAGGAGTGAAATGACATCTCATTGGGATTTGGATTTGCATTTCCCTAATGATTAATATGTTGAGTAACTTTTCATACAACCGTCGGCCATTTTTATGTCTTCTTTGGAAAAGTGTCTATTTATATGCTTTGCCCATTGTTTAATCAGATTATTTGATTTTTTGCTATGGAGTTGTGTGAATTCCTTATATATTTTGAATATTGAGCTCTTATCAAATATACAGTTCACAAACATTTTTTTTCTCAATACATCCTATACCTTTTCATTTTGGTGATTGATTTTGACTGTGCAGAAGGTATTTAGTTCGATTTCCACGTCTGTTTTTACTTTTGCTGCATGTGCTTTTGGTTTTCTCTCTCTCTCTCTCTCTCTCTCTCTATATATATATATATATATATGTATATATATGTGTATATATATATATGTATATATATGTGTATATATATATGTATATATATGTGTATATATATATGTATATATATGTGTATATATATATGTATATATATGTGTATATATATATGTATATATATGTGTATATATATATGTATATATATGTGTATATATATATGTATATATATGTGTATATATATATGTATATATATGTGTACATATATATATGTATATATATACATATATTGTTAAGGCAAATGTCAGGGAGCTTTTCCTTGAGTTTTGTACTAGGAGTTTTATGGTTTCATGTCTTAGTTTAAATTTTTAGTCCATTTTGAGTTGAATGTTGTATATGGTGTAAGACATGTGTCCAATTTCGTTATTTTGCATATGATTATCCTGTTTTCCCAACACCGTTTATTGAAAAGACAGTTTTATCCCCATTGTATCATACAGGTTACACAGTAACTTGTGAAAAATTACTTTACCATATAAGTGTATATTTATTTATAGGTTCTTTATTCTGTTCCATTAGTTGATGAGTCTGCTTTTATGCCAGGGCTGTGTTATATTTATTACTATAGATTTGCAGTGTAATTTAATACTAGATGGTGTAATTCACTCAGCTTTTTTTTTCCTCAGTATTCCTTTGGCTATTTGGGTTGTTTGGAGGTTCCATGTAAATTTTAGAATTGTTTTTTTTATTTCTGTGTAAAATATCAGTGGAATATTGATAGGGATTGCATTGAACCTGGATATCATTTTAGGTAGTATGAACATTTTCATAATATTGAGTTTTCCCATCCATGAACACAATATATCTTTCCAATTATTTGTGCCTTCAATTTCTTTCATCAATATTTTGTAGATTTCAGTGTACAGCTCTTTAACCTTCTTGATTAAACTTGATTCTAAGTATACTATTCTTTTGATGCTATTGTAAATTGGATAAGTTTCTTGCTTTATTTTCAAATAGGTTGTAATTAGTGTAAAGAAATGCAACGAAATGACTGTGTTTGAGAGGGGCTTCTAGATGCCTGATTAAAAGCATCTCCTACACACCTTCTCCACTACAAAGAACCAAAACAGTGAGAAGGTAATCATCTAAGATAGAATGCTAAAATTCAAAAAAAGAAGTGACAGGAGATACTCAAAGCAAAGAAGAGAGAGGAGAGGTGAGACAGCCTGAGACACTCCTCAATGTAGGGAAAAGGTAAGTGAGATTCCCCACAGTGGTCCAAATTCTTGCCACAAACTCTTACAATCCTAACCATGGGAGAACCACTTGACCCTTGTGGGCCCTGAGACTAACATAAGGAGCTCCGTGGAACCTGAATAAAGGCATAGGTCTAGAGATAGAGCTCATACTGTTTCCCACAAACACCTAAGTTCTTACTAGTGGCAACATGACACTATTATAAGAGCCCAGCCTACACCATAATGTGTCCTACTCAGCAACTGAGGGCAAGGTAAGAGCTATGGGCAGCATTCTCATCAGCCCCAACAGAAGAGTAGCTGTGGATACTCATGCACCCTGAGGACAAATTCCACTGCTCACAACAGCTGCAGCGGTGGACTGCTGTGGGCCAAGGCACAAATAAAGTCTGTGCCCCCCAGATGTCTGCCTATAGCTGCTCTCAAGGAAAGCAACCCTACACTCTCCAGTAGCAGGGTCACAGTGCAACTATTGTTGCCTCCACTGTAGCATTCCACCAGCAGGGCTCACCTTCTCCTGCATACCACAGTCAGCATTTATATGCACTATTGGGGTGCCTGAGGGCACAGCTTGGTTCAAGTTCACCCCACACTACCTGAGCACAACCTCATCCACTATCAGTGTCACCTGAGCATTTCTTTGTGGGTTTAAAGTCATGTTCAGTCAACCCACTGCAACCACCACAACTGATGCCCCCTTCCCCCTCCCACACACACACACATCACCTGCGGGTCTGCGTACTAGACCGTTCAACTTGTTGCAGTCACCGCCAACACCAGTGAAGACCACTTAGGTTTCAGGGGATTGTCTTACCACTGCAACTGCCATCAGCCACACCACACCCACTGGCCATGAGTTCAAAAACCCACCTGCACATCTGTACCACCACTGTCATTTGTGGTACCCAAGCAAGACACCTGAAAGCCCAAGAATCAGCCTGCCTAGATTAGCTAACACTGGTGTCAGCATATGTTGCCCAGGGTCTGAAGGACAGTCACACTCAGCCCACCACTGCCAACACTGGAGATTGAACACTGGCTTACTTGTCATCATAGTCCCCAGCAAAACTTTACCACAAGGCTCCCCTAATAAATGCTCCCTAATCCAACAAAGAAATCACAGACATCACTGACACTGATTACAGCAAAAGCAAATCATACACAGGCTACACTGCTGCAGGCACGCAGAATCAAAGCCAGTGGGCCCTTGCCAATCAACACTACAGACACATTGTCAGGAAAAACTCCTTTCCCATGAAAGCAAATTCAAAAATTTCAAAGAACTGAGTTACAGCAGATGCAAAGGTATCAATGTAAGAACACAGGAAACATAAAGATCAAAGAAATATGTCACCTCCAATGTAACACAATAATTCTACAACAGATACAAATGAAAAATAAATGCACAAATTCCACCCAAAAAAGAAATCAGAATTTTCATACTGAAGATCAGTGAGACACAAAAGAATTCTGAATAACAATATCAAGAAATCAGAAAAAAGTCAGGATATGAATGATAAATTTACCAAAGATACAGATATTACCAAAAAGAACAGAAATTCTAGAACTGAAGAATTCATTGAATAAAATAAACGAATACATTTGTTAGGTTAAACGGTAGAATAAATATAGCAGAAGAAGGAATCTCAGAATGTGAAGTCATGTCTTCTGAAATAGACAAAAATTAAAAATAAAAATAAAAAAGAAGGATTAAAGACTTTTTGACACACTGGACACCACTAAGTGATCAAAGATATGATTATCTGTGTCCAAGAAAATGAAGAAAGGATGAAAAAGTTAGAAAATTATTTAACGAAATAATAGATAAAAGTTCTGAAGTCTGGCAAAAGACTTAGACAGCTAGACGGAAAAATCTCAGAGATCCACAAACATACGCAATGCAAAAGGGTCTTTGACATGGCACATTACAGTAAAACTGTCTAAAGTCAAAGACAGAGAGAATTCTAATAACACAAAGTGAAAAATGTCTAGTTGCCTATAAAGGAACACCCATCAGACTAACAGCATATTTCTCAGCAGAAACCTTACTGGCCAGGAGAGAATGGGATAATATATTCAAAGTGATAAGTGAAAAACAAAGCTAGCCAGTCATTCAATATACAACAAAATTATTTTTCATACATGAAGGAGAAATAAAGTATTTCCCAGAGAAACAAAAGCTGAGGGAATTTATTACTAGTAGACCAGTCCCACAAGAAAAGCCCAAAGAAGTCCTAAACTGGAAATAAAAGGATGACATTTATCATCATGAAAACAGATGAAAGTATAAAACTCGTGGGAACAGCAAAAACACAAATGAGCAAGAAAAAGGGCAAAAATGATACCACTGTAGAAAACCACAAAACTACAATGACAAACAATAAGAGAAAATTAAAAAAAAAACAAATAATACAAAAACAACCAGAAAACAATTAACTAGACAGAAACTAAGGCTCACATATCCAATAATGACCTTCAAGGTAAACAGGTCAAATTCTCCACCTAAAAGGTATAGACTAGCTGAATGAATTTTAAAAACCCATGCTTTAACTGTATACCACCTGCAAGAAATTCATTTCACCTGTAAAGACACATGCAGACTGGAAATTTTAAAAAGGAAAATTTGTTTCATGCAAATATGAAACAAAATTGAGCAGAAGTAACTAAACTAATGTGAGATAAAACAGACTTTAAGTCAAAAAGAGTATAAAATGGTCATCATATAGTAATAAAAGGATCAATCCTGGAAAATGATTCAATAATTCTAAATATTGTGCACCCAACAGTGGATCAACCAGATTCATAAAATAAATATTATTAGATCCAAATAAGGGAGATATACTCTAATACATTAATAATGGAGAACTTCAACACCCTACTGTAAGCATAGATAGATTACCTAGACAGAAAATTAACAAGGAAGCATTGGATTTAAACTGGAATTAAGACCAAATAAACATGACAAACTTGGGTCAAATAAATGGGACTTCATCTTGTAATCATGTGAGCTAATTCTTAATAAACTCCCTTTTATATATACATATATCTTGTAGGATCTGTCTCTCTGGAGAACCCTGACTAATACAGCATGTCACTAAAAAACACCAACAAAATATAAGGAAAGGCAGTAAAGGAAGAATTTAGAGACAAAAAAGGTACAACACATAAAGAAAAGGATTAACAAAATAGCAAGTCTTTCTCTGTCAGTAATTACTTTCATGCACAAGAATTAAACTACTCAATCAAAATATACAGACTGCAAAATGAATAGATTGATATAGGCACTCCACAATGTAGGCATATATAAAAGCATCATGCTGTACACCATGAGTATATCTAATTTTTATTTGTCAATATAAAATGTAAAAAATCAAATTACATGTTGTATATAAGAGACCTACTTTATATCTAAGAAAGTGCACAGGGAGAAAGTAAAATAATGGAAGATATTTTATATAAATTGTAAGGAAAAAAGAGAGCCAAGATGGCTATATTCATATCAGACAAAGTAAACTGAAAACTGTAACAAAAGACAAGGAAGACATTACATAATGATAAAAAGCTCAATTTTTTGTAAAGACATAACAATTTTAAATATATATGCAGCAAATATCAGACCTCCTAAATACGTAAAACTTGACAGAATTAAAGGGAGAAATAGACAGCAACAAATAGTAGTCACGTTTTTTCTAATTTTTATTTTAAGTTCAAGGGTATATTTGCAGGTTTGTTATATGGGTAAACTTGTGTCATAGGGGTTTGTTGTACACATTATTTTATCACCCAAGTATTAAGATCAAGCCTAGTACCCATTAGTTACTTTTTTGGTTGATCCTATTGCTCCTCTCTCCCTCCATCCTCCAAAGGGCCCCAGTGTCTGTTCCAATTTTTATGTCCATGTGTTTTCATAATTTATCTCCCACTTATAAGTAAGAACATGTGGTATTTGTTTTTATGTTTCTGCATTAGTTTGCTAAGGATAATGGCCTCCAGATCAATTCATGTTCTACCAAAAGACATAATGTTGTTCTTTTTAATGGCTGCATTGTATTACATTGTGTATATGCACTACATTTTCTGTATTCAGTCTACCATTGATGGGCATTTAGGTCAATTCCATGTCTTTGCTATTGTGAATAAGGCTGCATAGACATGCAAGTGTCTTTGTTATGAAATGATTTATATTGGTTTGGTTATATACTCAGTAATGATATTGCTGGATCAAATGGTAGTTCTGTTTTTAGGTCTTTGAGGAATTATCACACTGTTTTTCACTATGGTTAAACTAATTTACACACCCACCAACATTGCATGAGCATTCTTTTTTCTCTGCAACCCCACTGTAGGGAGACCCCTGAAACTATTGCTATGGAATAAAAGATGAAATGCTCCTGATTACTGTAAATACAAAATTGCATGCAGGGTTGTGTAAAGACAATGCCAGGTTGGACTGCCAGAATGAGCCAACAGTTTGTGATGTGCTTCCCCCTGCAGAGAGCCTATGAACGGACATGCAGTCAGGGAGATTTCATATCACCAAGATTCCTATCCCAGAAAAGCAGACGTTCATAGCTCTGAGAATGGAATGCTACCCTTGTAGAGAGCCTATAAACGAATGCATGAGGGGCGCCTGTTCATATGGATAAGATAGGGATATAAATGCCTTCATCTTGCCACAGCTCTTCTAGGCCTCTTTAGGGTTAAGGCATACTCCCTTCTAAGAATTTCTGTTCTAACCGGTTGTCTAGCTTCACATCCTGTTTCTACGGATTGTTTGTAACCAGCTTTTGCTGCAACTGTTACTGCTGATTAATATCTTGCTAACCATAGGTTATAGAAAGACTATGTTTCTGTTTTAAGGCTCTGTTAGAAATTACTGATGCACACACTATATTGTAAATTCTTATCTCTGTATACTGTACTTCTGCATACAGATGTTATGTTAAAGAATTACTTCATCCCTATGTGACCATCTCACCTCATAATCAAATGACTCTAAATCCCTCACTAACCTACCCCCACCCTCACTAAACTTAATAATAAATGCTGGTATATGCAATGCATTGGTGGCATCATAGGACCAGAAGGCGGTGACACCCCCGGACCCAGTTTTCACTATCTTTTGTGTGTCTATTATTTCTCCACCTGCTGATCCACCTGGGGACAAAGAAAGAGCCCCATTGCATTGCAGGCTGCTGGCCAGATCCCGCAATATTTAAATATTTAATAATAGCTATTCTGAGTAGTCAGAGATATTTAAACCCCACTTTTAGTAATGGATTGAAAGACCAGACTCAATATCACTGAGAAAAGAGTATTTGAACAATGCTGTAGAGCAATTTGACCTAACAGACATATACAGAACATTCTACCCAACAGCAACAAAATAAACATACTTCTCAAATGCAAATGGAGCATTCTCTAGGATAGATCATACATTAGGCCATAAAAACTATTAACACATTTAAAAGACTAAACTTATAAAAGTATTTTGTGCCATCACCATGGAATAAAACTTAAAATCAATACTGGAAAGAAAATGGGAAAATCTATAAATATGTGGAGATTAGGCAAAACATGCTTAAACAAGCCATATGTCAGTTAAAAAATCAAAAGAGAAATTAGAAGTTATGTTGAGAAAAATGAAAATGATAACACAAATATCCAAATTTATTGGATAAAAAGAGAACAGTGCAAAAACAAAAGTTTTCCACTGTAAATGCTTGTTATAAATAAATATATATAACATATAAAATAATATATATATAAATTAAATAAGCACATTACATTAAACCTCAAATAACTAGAAATAAAAGAACAAATAAAACCCAAACTTAACAGAAGGATGGCAATAATAAAGATTAACATAGATGTAAACAAAGTAGAAAATCAAAAATAGAAGTAAAAAATATCTATAAAACTAAGAATTGTTTTGTTTCTTTACAAAATCAACAAGATTTACAAACCCTTGGCTAGATTAATTAATAAGGAAATGGATAGGAACCAAGAAACAAAAATCAGAAATGAAAGAGAGGGTATTACAAACAATAGAACATGTACAAACAGAATTATGAGAATAGTCTGAAAGATTGTTCACCAACAATTTTAGTAATCTAGACAAATTGATAAATTCCTAGAAACACACAACCTACAAACACTAAATGAGGAAATAGAATATTTGAAAAGACCAATAACTAATGAGGATATTGAAACAGTAATCAAAAACCTCTCAACAAAATAAAGCCCAGAACCTGATGAGTTTACTGGAAACTTTTATCAACCTTTTAAAGAAGAATTAATACCAATCATTTTCAATCTTACCAAAAGAATTCAACAGTAATGAAAATGCCAAAACTTACTCTATAAAGCCAGCATTACCTTACTACCAAAAGCAAACAGGCTGGGCATGGTGAGTTATGCCTGTAGTCATAGCACTTTGGGAGGCTAAGGAGGGAAGATTGCTTGAAGCCAGGAGTTCATGACCAGCCTGGGCAACATAGCAAGATCCTGTCTTTATAAAAAATTAAAATATAATAACTGGTCATGGTGGTGCATGCTGGCAGTCACAGCTAATCAGGAGGCTGAGGTAGGAGGATCCCTTGAGCCAAGGAGTTTGAGCCTGCAGTGAGCTGTAATCATGCCACTGCACTCAAGCCTGTCTGACAGAGTGAGACCCCATCTTTCAAAGACATAATGCAAATGAAAACACTAAAAGAAAAAAGGACTACAAATTCATATTTCTGATGAATGTTATTGTAAAAATCCTCAATAAAATACTAGCAAACTATATTCAATAGCACATTAAATGATTGTAAACCATGACCAAATAGAATTTATTCCCAGAGTACAAGGATGGCTCAACATAAAAACCAATTAATCTAATATAACTCTTTAACAAAATAAAGGCCCAAAACATTGTAATCATTATGATCATTATAATTAAGACAGAAAAATCACTTGACAAATTCTACATCATTTCATGATAAAAACACTCAACAAATTAAGTAGGCATTTTTGTGTTTCCATAACTGACATCTGATGCAGACTTCATTCTCTCCCCCTCTTCTACCCTCCTCTTTTCCCTCTTTTCATACTCTTGGCTCTAATAAATGGATGGTTTTCAAAAAAAACAAAACAAAAAACAAAATAATACAAACAAACAAACAAAAAACACTCAACAAATTAGGGATAAAAGGGAACTACCAGAGCATTATATAAGTCATTTATGAAAATCCCATATTCAGTATTACATTCAATGCCAAAAGACCAAATATTTTTCCTCTCAGATCAGGAACAAATCAAGGATGCCTTATTTTGCTACTTCTATTCAACATAGTACTGAAGTGCTAGTCAGAGCAATTAGGAAAAATAAAGAAATAAAAGGCCTTCCAAAGTGGAAATGCAAAAGAATCATTACTTCTGCTCACAGATGATAAGATTTGTTGTATTTAAAATGGTAAAGATTCTACAAAATACTGTTAGAAATAATAAAACGGCAAGGTTGCAAAATAAAAAAATCTTCAGAGAAAAATAAGTTACATTTCTATTAGTTAACAATAAGAAATCTAAAAATAAAATTAAGAAGACAATTATGATACAGTTTGGATATTTGTTCCCACCCAATCTTATGTTAAAATGTTAAAATATAATCTCCAGTATTGGAGGTTGGGCCCGGTGGGAGGTGTTTGGGTCATTGGGATGGATCTCTCCTGGCTTGGTTCTTCCCTCACAATAGTGAGTTCTCATGAGATCTGGTGTTTTAAAAGTATGGCATCTTCCCCCACTGCCTTGCTCCTACTATGGCCATGTGATGTGCCTGTTCCAGCTTCACCTTTGTCCATGCATCAAAGCTTCCTGAGGCCTCCCCAGTGGCTGAGTAGAAGCCAGCACCATGTTTATACAGCCTGCAAAACCATGAGCCAATTAAACCTCTTTTTTAAAAAATAAAATACCCAATCTCAGGTATTTATAACAACACAAGAATGGCCTAACACAGAAAATTGGAACAGATGTGTAGGGCATTGTTATAAAGACATCAGAAAATGTGAAAGTGATTTTAAAACTGGGTAGTGAGAAGATGTTGGAAGAGTTTCGAGGGTTCAGAAGAAGACAGGAAGATGTGGGAAAGTTTGCAATTTCTTAAAGACTGGTTAAATGGTTGTGACTCAAATGCTGACAATGATACAGACAGAGTAGTCCAGGCTGACGAGTTCTTAAATGGAAATGAGGGACCTAAAAAGAAATGGAGCAAAGGTCACCCTTGTTATGCCTTAGCAAAGAAGTTGGCTAAATTGTGTGCATGCACTGGGGAAATGTGGAAGTTTGAACTTCAGAGTGATAATTTAGGGTATCTGGTGAAGAAAATTTCTAATTATCAAAATGTATAATAAGTAACATGGCTGCTCCTAACAGTCTATGCTCAGATGCAGGAGCGAACAAATGTTCTAAAGTTGGCACCTATATTTAAAAGGGAAGCAGAATATATAAGTTTGGAAAATTTACAGCCTGGCCTTGTGGCAAAGAAAAAACAAAGTATTGTCAGGGGAAAAATCCAAGGAGGCTGTGAAGCAACCATTTACTAGATAAATTTGCATAACTGAAAGGGAGTCAAGCGCTAATAGTCAAGACAATGGGAAAGAGGCCTCCAAAGCGTTTTAGGGATCTTCTAGGCAGCCTGCTGCATCATAGGCCCTGAGGCTTAGGAAGACTGAATGGTTTCAGGGGCCAGGCCCAGTGCACCACTGCACCACAGCCCTGCCCCACCCCAGGAGACTGTTACTCCCATCATGGCCACTCAAACTCCAGCTGTGGGTAAGCCAGACCCAGGTTCAACTCAGGTCTCAAGTCTGGAGTGCAAGCAATAAGCCTTGGCAGCTTTCACATGGTTTTAAGCCTGTGGGAACACACAGTGCAAGAGTGAAAGAAGCTTGGTAATCTCTACTTACATTTCAGAGGATGTATGAGAAAGCCTGATTTCCTAGGTAGAAGTCTGCTGCAGAGGCAGAGCCCTCACAGAGAACTTCTACTAGGGCAGTACAGAGGAGAAATGTGGGGTTGGAGCCCCCACAGAGAGTCACCACTGGGGCACATTCTAGTGGATCTGTGGGAGTAGGACCACTGCCCTCTAGACCTCAGAATGGTAGATCCACTGGCAGTGTGCCTAGAGAGCCACAATTACTCAACTCCAACCTGCGAGAGAAGCCACTAAGGCTGCACCTTGCAAAGCCACAGAAGTGGTGCTGCTCAAGGCCTTGGGAACCTACCTCTCATGTCACTGTTCTCAGGATGTGCGACACAGAGTCAAAGGAGACTATTTTGGAGCTTTAAGATTTAATGACTGCCCTACTGGGTTTCAGACCTACATGGGGACTGTAGCCACTTTCTTTTAGCCAATTTCTTCTTGTTGGAGTGTGAATGTTTACCCAATGCCTTTACACCCATTATATTTTGGAAATAAATGATTTGTTTTGATTTGATAGGCTTGTAGGTAGAAGGGACTAATTTCCACATGAGACTTTGGACTTTGGACTCAGAACTTTTAATTGAGTTGATGCTAGAATGGGATAAGAACTCAGGGGACTGTTGAGAAGGCACAATTGCATTTTGCAATATCAGAAGGACATGAGATTTGGAGGTCCAGGGGCAGATAATGTGGTTTGGGTACTTGTTCCCACCCAAATTTCAAGTTGAAATGTAGTCCCCAGTGTTGGAGGTGGGGCCTGGTGGGAAGTGTTGGGGTTATGGGGCAGGATCTCTCATGTCTTTGTGCTTTCACCATAATAATGCGTAAGTTCTCATGAGATTTGGTTGTTTAAAACTGTGGCATCTCTAACCCTCTTGCTCCTGCTCTGGCCATATAATGTGCTTGCTCCCACTACACATTCTGCCATGAGGAAAAGTTCACTGGGGCTTCTCCAGAAGCTGAGCATATGCAAGTACCATGTTTGTACAGCCTACAGAACCATGAGCCAATTAAACCATCTTTCTTTGTAAATTATCGAGTCTCAGGTAATCCTTTGCAGGAGCACAACAATGGAGCAATAAAAATTTCATTTACAATAGCATAAATATAAATAAAATACATAGAAATAAACTTAACCAAGTAGGTAAAAGCCTGGTACACTGAAAAGTACAAAACAGTGCTAAAATAAATTAAATAAACAATGAATAGATATCCCATGTTTATGTATTTGAAAACAGTATTGTTGTTAATAATATTCAAAGTCATTGATGAATTTAATAAATATCTATGAAAAGCTCAACAGAAATTTTGAAAAAAATAGAAAATCTATCTAAAATGGTTAAAAATTTTGAGACCCTGCATCACCAATAAAATTGTAAAACGAGATCAACATTGCAGGTCTTGTATTCCTTGATTTCTGAACTTATTAGAAAGCTACAGAAATAAAAAATGCAGCATTGTAATAAATACAACATAGAAAAATTGAACAGAATAAAAAGCCCACAAGAAACACCCTACATAATGGTCTAATAATTTTCAACAAGGATGCTAAGACCATTCAGTAGTGAAAGGACAATCTTTTCAGAAAGTGGTATTGGGAAAACTAGAAATTCTCATGCAAAATAATAACATTAGATGCTTACCTTACACAATATAGAAAAATTAACTCAAAATGAATTAATGGGCTAAATGTAATACCTTAAAATCTGTAAACTTAGAAGAAAACATGGGGGAAAGCTTCATACCATTAATTTGGCAGTGGTTTCTCTGATATGACACCAAAATCACAGGCAGCAAATTCAAAAAGAAAAAAATGAAACTACATCAATTTGAAAATTTTCTGTGCATCAAAGGACACAACCAACAGAGTAAAAAGATAACCTATGGGATAGAATATTTGCAAGTTATGTATTTAAGTGGTTAATATACAGAATATATATAGATACCCTACAACTCAGAAACAAGAATCAAACTAATAACCTAATTAAGCAGTGCTCTAGGGATGCTGTTTTCAAGAGAAAGGGAGCCAAAGCACATGCTCCCTAGAAACTGAAAGCTGCCTGCTTGGAGCCACTGCCAATGACAGCACCCGCTGGCCCAAGCAGCAGGGCCCCCATGCAACTATACATGCCTTGAAGGAGACTGCAGGCCAGCCCACTTTGATACTTCCTCATAAACAGATGACAGGGCTACCCTGCTCACTGCCACTGCTGCCACTGAATTAGTACATTATATGGGTACCTGGGGATTGATGCATCCCACTCACCAGAGTTGGTACTTGTACACACCATCAGGAGGCATGAAGACAGACCCACCATGTCCAAGAGCCAGGGGATTCACCTGCCCCTCCCACTGTTGCTGGTGCTCATAGGCAGCATTGAGGAACTTGAAGACAAGCCCACCCTACCCACCAATACTACCTCTAATACCTGAGTGTGCCATCAAGGGAACAGGGGATTAACCCATCCTACTTTCCACAGCTGGTGCCTGCATGCACCACTGAGAAGCCTGACAACTGGCATGCTGTACCCAATGCCAACACCCATGCATGCAATCCTTTGGCTTGAGGCAGGCTTGCCCCTCTCACTGTGTTTGAGCATGTTGCTTGGGAGCCTGGGGATCAACTTGCATCACCCACTGCAGCTTGCACCTTCATAAATTTGGTGGGGGAGCATGAGGGCAGGCCTGCATCATGCACTGCCACTGCCTTCTGTGCCTGAGTGTGCTGTTCAGAAAAATGGAGATTGACCCATGTCACCCACTGACACCAGCACTTGTGAATATTTTCTAGGGTCCTGAGCACAAGACAACTCAGCCTGCTTGTGCCCATGCATGTTGTCTGGGGGTCTGGGGTTCAAATGGTCCTTCTCAACACAGCCTGCACCCTTGCACACCATTGGGGGCCCTTAGAACAACACTTCCCTGCCTTGTGCTGTCTCTGTCAGTACCCATATGCATCATCCAGAGGCCTGGCGACCAATCTACCCCATCTTCCACTGCCAGTAACTGTACATGGCTTTCAGAGGCTTGAGGATACAACTATTTATTTTGCCTGCAACAATGCACATTGCCTGGGGGCCCGGAAATTGGTCCACCCTTCCCACCACAGCCAGCACCTATGCATGCCTTTTGGCAACCTGAAAATGAACCCACTCAGTCTGCTGCTACCATAACTGCTATCACCCACTCAAATGCACCACCTAGGTGCCTTGGGATTGGTCCACTCAGCCTGTTGCTACCACTGCTAACACAAGTATGTGCTTTCTTGGAACCCAAGGGCTGTTTCGCTACTGTTACCGTCATCACCTACACCATGCATGCTACCCAGGGGCTTAAAAATCTGCCCATCTACCCAGTCCTTCACTGCCACTGCTAGCACCTGTGTATGTTGCCTGGAGGCATGAGGATTGGGCCACATGAAAACACTACTGTTGGTGCCCATGTATGCCAACCAGTGGCCCAAAAACCAGCCTCTGCCACCACTGGTACCTGAGAACTTGCCCACATTGTATTCCTATCCCCAGCAAAGCCTCACCACAGCCTCTATTAAGAACCACAGCCTAAGCCACTAAGAAACTCAGAAACCCCACTGATACTGATTGGAGCTGAATAAACTATGTGGAGACTAAACTACTGTGCCTACCAATAGTTAAAGACAAAGTACCCTATTCAACCAAAACTATTGATACATATTTAGTAAAATGTCTTTTCTCATGAAAGGCAAACCATAAAATTGGAAAAAGTCATCATTACAATGGATGTACAGATATCAATATAAGGACAGAAGAAAAATTAAAAAGCAAGGATATATAACTTCAAAGAAACATAATAATTCTCCAACAACAGGTTCCAATGAAAAATAAATCTACTAAATGTCTGAAAAAGAATTCAAAATAATGATATTAAAGAAGCTCAGAATGGTTCATGATCTGAGTGAGAAGTTAAACAAAGAGATTTCATTAAAAAAAGATAAATTCTAGAGCTAAGAACTCAATAAAATATAAAATACAATCAAAAGTTTTAAACAATAAACTAGGTCAAACAGAAGGAAAAGAATTCTGAACTTGAAGACTGGTCTTTTCAAAGAATCCAGACAGAGAAAAAGGAAAAAAATAATTTATAAAAATGAAGAAAGCCACGATATAAAGGATACTGTAAGGTGATCAAATATTCAAATTTTGGGCATTCCAGAAGAAGAAATGGCAAAAAGTATAGAAAATGGACAAACAGATAAGGAGGTTTAGATATTCTAACATAGATTAAACCCACAATGTTTTTCACTTAGGCATATTATAGTCTGTCAAAAGTAAAAAAAAAAAAAGAGGTCTCTTAAAACAGCAAGAAAAAAATGTTACATATAAAAAAGTCCTCATTACACTCACAGCATATTTCTCAGCGGAAAATTTATAGACAAGGAGAGAGTGGGGGCATGTATTCAAAGTACTGAATGCAAAAAAAATAAATTAAAATAATGTGCCAGCCATTTATAATATACCCAGCAAAAATATTCTTAAGAAAATAAGAATAAAGAAAATCTTTCTCACATAAGCCAAACTGAGTGAATTCATCACCATCATAAAAGACCTACAATGCTTAAGGGAGCCTTATATCTGAGAACGAAGGAATGGTATCTACCATCATGAAAACAAAAAAAGTATAAAACTCAGTGGTACAGTAGAGGCAAATCACCAAGAGTAAAAAATAAAATATGATCTCTCTAAAAAATCACCAAAATGCAGGCTGGGCATGATGGCTCATGCCTGTAATCCCAGCACTTTGGGAGGCCGAGGCGGGCAGATCACCTAAGATTAGGAGTTTGAGAACAGCCTGGCCAATGTGGTGAAACCCCATCTCTACTAAAACTACAAAAATTAGCTGGGCGTGGTGGCAGGCACCTGTAATCTCAGCTACTTGGGAGGCTGAGGCAGGAGAATCTCTTGAGCCCAAGAGGTGGAGGTTGCGGTGAGCCAAGATCACACCACTGCCCTCTAGTCTGGGCGGCAGAGTGAGACCCTGTCTCAAAAAAAAATTCACCAAAATGCAAATATAAACAATAAGAGAGAAAGAAAGGGACGAAAAACATGAAAAGTGCCAGACAACAACTAACCAAATGATAGAATAAGTCCTCACCTGTAAATAACAAAATTGAATGTAAATTCATTAAATTGCCTATCAAAATATATAGACTGGCTGAAATAATTAAAGTACATGAACCAATTATATGCTGCCTACAAGAAACTCATCTCACCTGTATAGTGAGTTGAGTCACCTATGTATAGACTGAAAGGGAAGGAATGGAGAAAGATATTCTATGCAATGGAAACCAAAAGGTAGTAGGAGTAGCTATACTTATATCAGATAAAACAGACTTTAAGTCAAAACCTACAAAAAGAGACAAAGAAGGTCATTAATGATAAACGGATCAATTCAGTAACAGAATATTACAATTCTAAATATATATGCCCTAAATACTGGAGCACTCAGATATAAAATGCAAATATGGCTGGATCTAAAGGGAGAGATAGACTTGAATACAGTAATAGTTGGGAACCTCAACACCATACTCTCAGCATTGGATAGATCATTATACGAAGAATCATTGGATTTAATCAATCAATGGAGATACATTGAATCTAAACTGAACTTTAGACCAAATGGACAATAAGTATTTACAGAATATTTTATCCAATAGCTTCAGAATACACATTCTTTATATTAGCACATGGAGCAATTTCTCAGATAGGCCATTTGCTATGCTTCAAAACAAATTTTTAGAAGTCAAAATTATATCAAGATTCTTCTCAGAACAAAGTGGAATAAAACTATATATGAATACAAGATAAATGTTTAAAAGTGTAAAAATACATAGAAATTAAACAACATGCTCCTGAACAACCATTGAGTCAATGAAAAAAAAAATCAAGAAAAACAAAAATGAAAACACAACATACTAAAATCTATGGGATATGGCACAAACAGTGGTAAGAGGAAAGTTTATAGCAATAAAAGCCTACATAAAAAGTAGAAAGGTTTCAATAAATAATATAATATGATGCACCTCAGAAAGCTAGGAAAGCAAGAACCAACCAAACCCAAAATTAGTAGAAGGAAAGGGGTAATAAAAATCAGAGCAGAACTAAATAAATAAAACTTAAAAAAGCAATATGAAGGTTCAACAAAATGAAAAGTTGTTCTTTTGAAATGATAAAATTGATAAACCACTAACTAGACTAAACAAGAAAAAAGAGAAAATACACAAATAATATCATAAATGCACAAGGTGACAATAAAACTGATGTCACAGAAAGACAAAGGATTATTAGAGACTAGTATGAACAAACACTCACTAACTGGAAAACCTAGAGAAATTGATAAATTCCTGGGCAGGTACCAAAATTGAATTACGAAGAAACAGACCAATAACAAATAATGAGATAGAATCAGTGATAGAAATCTTCCCAACAAAGAAAAGCCCAGGACTAGATAGCTGTACTACTGAATTCTACCAAATTTTTAAGGAAGACCTAACAGCAATTTTACTTAAATGAGTTTAAAAATGTGAAGAGGAGGGAATTCTTCCTGACACATTCTACAAGGCCAGCATTACCCTGATGCCGGAGGTAGATAAGGACTCAACAAACAAAAAAAGAAAACTACAAGCCAGTATCCATGATTGACATAAACACAAAAATCTTTAATAAAACACTAGCCAACCAAATTCAACAACATATCAAAGAGATAATACGTTATGGTTTAGTGGGATTTATTCCAGAGACAAAAGGATAATTCAATATGTGTAAATTAATATATGTGACACATGACATCAACCAAATACAGGCTAAAAACCATATGATCATATGAATAGGTACAGAAACAACATTTGATAAAATTCAACATCATTTCATAATAAAAACACCAAGCAAATTAGGCATAGGAGAAACATACCTTTACATAATAGAGGCCATATGTGACAAACCCATGACTAATCTCATATGAAATGGAGAAAACTGAAGATCTTCTAAGAACTGTAACAAGACAAGGAGGATTACTTTTACTACTCTTTTTAAACACAGCACAAGAAATCTTAGAGCAATCAAGCAAACAACAGAAATAAAAGGCTCCTATATTGGAAAAGAGGAAGTAAAATTTTCCCTCACACACATATATACACATACACATATATACACAGACACACATATATACTCACCTACCTAAAGACTTCACAAATAATCTTAGAACTGACAAATAAATTCAGTACATTGATAACAAACAGGCTGAGAAACAAATCAAAAAAGCAATTCCATTTACAATAGCTACTAAAACCCAAAATATCTAGGAATAACATTTTAAAAGAAAGTGAAAGACCTCTATAAGGAAAACTACGAAATACTGATGAAAAAAATTAAAGAGGACACAAACAAATGGCAAATTATCCCCTGCTCATAGACTGAAATAATTAACATTGTTAAAATGACCATACCACACAAAGCAGTCTATAGCTTAAATGCAACCTCTATCAAAATACTAATTTCATTTTTCACAGAAATAGTAAAAACAATCTTACAATTCATATGGAACCAAAAAAAAAGCCTGAATGTAATCACGAATAATAGAAAAAAAGAGCAAAGCTGGAGGCATCACACTAGCTTCCTTCAAAAAATACTACAAAGCATCTTAACAAAAACTGAATGGTATTGATATAAAAACAGAAACATAGACTAATAGAATAGAGAACTTGGAAATAAATGCATGTACTTAGAACAAAGTAATTCTTGACATTGGTGCCAAGAACATACACCAAGGAAAGGACACCCTCTTCAATAAATCAGGCTGGAGAAACTGGAATTCATATGCAGAAAAATGAAACAAGTATCCTACACTCATTATATACAAAAATGAACTGAAAATTTAAACACATGAAATTAAGATTCGAATCTATAAAACTGTAGAAGAAAACATTAGGTAAATTCTTAAGGACATTGGTATAGTTAGATTTCGTGACTAAGACCTAAAATGTACAGGCAACAAAAACAAAAATGGGAAAATGGTACTGTATTAAAGTAAAAAAGATTGTGCATAGCAAAGAAAACAATCAACAGAATGAAGAAACAGCCTGCAGAGTAGGAGAAAATATTTCTAGGTAACTCATGTGACATTCTGGTCTAATACCTAAGAATATACAAGGAAGTTAAACAATTCAATAGCAAAATAATACTAATAATATTGATCTCATTAGAAAGTGGGCAAAGGATATTAATAGATATTTCTCAAAATAACACATATAAATGGCCAAGAGATATATGAAAAAGTATTCAATATCACTAATCATCAGAAAAATGTAAATCAAAACCACAACGAGATTTCATCTCACCCCAGTTAGAATAGCTATTATCAAAAAGACAAAAAATAACAAATGCTGACAAGGATGCAGAGGACACGGAATTTTTATACACAGTTGTTTGGATTGTAAATTAGCACAGCTATTTTGGAAAACAATATGGAGGTTTTCAGAAAGCCAGAAATAGAATTATCATGCCATCCAATAATCTCGCTGCAGAGTACTTATTCACAGGAAAGAAAATCATTACACTAGGCTGGGCACAGTGGCTCATGCCTGTAATCCCAGTACTTCTGGAGGCAGAGGTAGGAAGATCATTTGAGGTCGGGAGTTCGAGACCAGCTTGGCTAACATGGTGAGACCCCATCTCTACTAAAAAAATATACAAAAATTAGCTGGGCATGGTGGCATGCGCCTGTAATCCCAGCTGCTCCAGAGGCAGAGGCAGGAGAATTGCTTGAACCCGGGAGGCGGAGGTTGCAGTGAGCCAAGATTGTGCCACTGCACTCCAGCCTGGGCGACAGAGTGAGACTCCATCTTAAAAAAAAAAAAAAAAAGGAAAAGAAAATCATTACACTAAAGGGGTACCTGTATTTTCATGTTTTTTAACAGAACTATTCACAATAGCCCAGATATGGAATCAACTTAAGTGTGCATGTAAGGATGAATGAATGAAGAAAACGTGGTATATGTGCAAAATAGAATATTATTCAGCCACAAAAAGAATGAAATTTTGTCATGGGCATCAACATGGATGGGACTGGAGGCAATTATGTTAAGAGGAATAAATGACATGCACAAAGACAAATATTGCATGTTCTTACGTATATACGGGAACTAAAAAGTTTGATCTCTTAGAGAAAGAGAGTAGAAAGATAATTGCCAGAGGCTAGAAAGGGTAAGGGGGATGAAGACGATTTGGGTAATTGGTATAAACATACAGTTAGAGAGGAGGAATACATTCTAGTGTTTGATAGCATAGTAGGGTGACAGTTAACAACAATATATTGCATATTTCAAAAAAGCTCTGGGAGATTAGTAACGTTTCCAACACAAAGAAATTATAAATGTTTGAGGTGATGGATGTCCTAAATACCTTGATTTGATTAGTACCCATTGTATTTGTATGTATATATCAAAATATCACACGTACCCCATAAATACGCACAATGTTTATGTATCAATAAAAAATGATAAAAATACAGAAATAACATTAAATTTAAAAACAACTAATGACTTAAAAATAATAAAGGAAATAACCAATGGAGAAACTGTATAGAAAATGTGAAGAAATTAGAACCCTTGTGTGCTGTTTCAGGGAATGTATGAGGTGCAGGATGTATGGAATACAGTATGGAGGTTGTTCAAAAAAATTAAAATTAGAATTACCATATAATCCAGCAATTCCACTTGTGGATATATATCTAAAAAATTGATGGCAGAGTCTCAATGATATATTCTCCCACCTTCTTAGCATTATTCACAATATTCAAGAAGTAGAAACAATCACACTGTCCATTGACCAATAAATGGATAAGCACAATTTGCTATATACATACAATGGAATATCATTCAGTCTTGACAAAGAAGAAATCTTGTCACATGCTACAACATGAATGAATCTTAAGGACACTATGTTAAATAAAATAAATCAATCACAAAATACAATGTATAATTCAACTTATATGAAACAGTTAATGTCAAATTCTTGGAAAAAAAAATAGTATAGTGGTTTCCAGGGGCTGGGAAGAGGAGGAAATGAGGAGATTTTTTAATGGGTTTAGACCTTTTGTTTTCAAGATAAAGAAAAAAAAATTGTTGCACAGCAATATTAATATACTTAACAGTATTTATACATTTTAAAATGGTTAAGATTACAAATTTCATACTATTTGTTTTCTTTCTATAGTAAGAAATAAAAATAAGAGAATTAAAAGACAACATAAGGATATATACATTTGAAAAAATACACATTTTGAAAACCACAGGAGTTATACTCAATAAAATAGTGGATCCATCAGAAAGGATATTCTAACAAATAAATTTTAAAATATGGATTTATATTATTTATTACCACTAACAAAAGGAAGTGGTAATTAGCGAGAAGTACATTAATGATCTTCGTCATTAGGTTGAATTTTAGGTTTAGGTTCAGTGACAAACATTTTTATTATTGGGAAGCTAATTTCCCTTCTATGGAGGTACAAATGTACATATTTATGCCTATATATTTATTTCGCTGAAATTACACCTCCTGTAAGACTTTAAAAATGTATGCTTCAATTTAAAGGGTAGTTTTCGAAAGTAATACCTGCTTACTGAAAAAAAGAATAATAAATACTGTAAAAAGTACATATTCCCTGTAATTCAACCTTCTGACTTTTAATAATAATCCTATAGTGAAAATATGGAATAAATAACTTATTCACTGTAAGAATGATTAAATGAATTTTTAAAATATAATTTTAATTCATTTGTGCTTCATAGCTACAAATCTAGCAAATCTGTTGTTTTGAAATTAAATAGAAAGACTCCTTGTACCTTTTGCATAAAGTAGTTCGTGATATAAAATTTCTGTTCAATGCCAAATTGTGGCCAGAATTGAAACAGTAGTTAAAAAGCCATGTTTTTTTTTTTTTTTTTTTTGTTTTTTTTTTTTTTTTTTGCTTTTACTCAGATAAAAGGCAACGGTGACAAAAGTCATGTTTCAACAGATAAACCTACTTTCCCAAGTATTAAAAATTATTTACTGACTCACCTTTTATGAATGATATCCATGTGCCAAAGATCAAGAAGTTGTGAATTGTTTTACATAGTGTTGTTAGCTACCTAATAAGGGTGAAAACTATACTCTCCTGTTGATAAGAGACAGAGTGTTATATTAAATTTTAGTGACATTTGGGTGGTTATAGTACCATCTGATAAACTATTTGAGGAGGTACCAGTTCAAGATAGGCTGAAAAAAAGCAGTTAGTACATGCCACTGTCATAGAGAGGAAGCAAAGTTGTGACTTAATACTGGCTCTTATAGTGGATCATCTAAAGATCATGTTGGGATTCGCCAATTAAGCAATGAAACACAAAGAGAACATAGAGGAGCAAATCCAGGAAGCCACCAACCTGGGACTGGCATGGAGACAGGGGGAGTTCCCTAATGTAAGGAAAGAGTGAATGAGTGAGAGCCCCCAGGAAATCTACACTTCTCTCATGGACGTTTGCAATCCTGGGCATAGGAGAATCCTTGTGACACCCTTGGGCCTCCAGACTGACCCAGAGAGCTGCCTAGAGTCTGTGCAGAGACACTTCTTAAGCCCAGGTACAGCCCCATGGGCCTTCGATTTCTGAACACTCTAGTACCAGCTGCCACAGCTCTGCCAACACCGTTAGGATAGATGCCACAGCCATGTTTTTGAGAAGTAGGCAGATTGCAGACCCTGCCTCTGCTGCTCCTTACCATGCAGGGCCTGCCAGTTTGGGCACCCAGTAAAGTTGCTTCACCCTCACCTGGTCACAGAATTTATTTGTGGCTCTGCATTCCTCTAGGGCAGAATTTCCAGAAGTCACTGACAGGCCCTCTGTGATCACAGCTGTCACTGTTCCCACCCTTACTGACCTCAGGCTTGGGAGGTAACAAAGAGGCTTGCCTTCAATACCCTACAGTTACCATACTGAGTGGTGGCCACACTGTTTACCATGTGACCCCCTCCCTACCCCCACTGCTCCTTGCCAGGCAGCCCCGGCTGGTTTAGGCCCCCAGTGCAGCTGCTACACCTCCACCTGATCACTGTGGTTGGTTGTGGCTCTGCAATCTTTTGGGACAGAACTCCCAAAGGTAACTGACAGGCTGTCTGTGACCATCTTTGACACTGCCCCCACCCCTGCTGCCCTCAGACTAGGGAAATAACAAAATGGCTGAGTGGTTTTGCGTGCTATCAACATGCCATAGTCAATGTAATGAGAGATGACCAGACTGTTTACTGTGTGACCCCTGACCCATGGCTCCCTCCTGAATGGGGATTGCTGCCTTCTGGCTTCCAGTGCACCCACCCTGTGCCCACCTGAGCATTTCAGCTGTGGCCCAGAGCCCTTCTGAAAACTCTACCTATAGGCCTGTGATCTTCCACCAGGCTCCCACCACCTAAGTGTTCTACCTGCCCCCCATCTAAGAGTTCAATTGGTGATCCAGGGACCAGCTTGCCTCTCCCCATCTCAGCCAGTACCTGAGCCCTGGTATAGCCTGAACATGGTCCAGCCCCACCGGGATTCACAGATACTGTCCAGCAGACCATCTAAGGGTCTGGGAATTGTGGAACTACCTAACCCATTCCAACTCTGCTGCCACCTGACCACTTGTCTCACAGCCTGAAGTTGGGCCAACCCAACCAGCAGACACCGCAACAACCAGCACCCACATGAATAAGCCTAATGGTGGACTCTTTCCTCCCTTTAACATAAAGCAGCAGGGCTACCACATCAGAGAAAAGGCAAGCCATAAGCTATCTGTATCAGGCTGAGTGATAAAGTTTTTCTCTGAAACCACTGCCATGAGGAGTCATAAAACAGGCATTTCTTGAGGCTCAAATGCATTGTGGTCCAGGGATAGACTACAGTGTGCATCTGAACTAGAACTCAAGAGCCCTGGAACAGGAGTGTTGAAAGGTAAGAGTACATATTTCTGTCTATCTAAGATGAGAAGCTAGTGCAGCTTTTTCACACTGCTGCAGAAATCTCAGTGCATTTCACCAGGAGCTCCTCCCAGCCACTCTTGTCAAAATTGTTGTCTATGCTCCTCGTAGGGGTATT
The DNA here is from genome assembly GCF_000001405.40 of Homo sapiens. Taxonomy (NCBI): domain Eukaryota; kingdom Metazoa; phylum Chordata; class Mammalia; order Primates; family Hominidae; genus Homo; species Homo sapiens. Next base: position 81,578,443 of record NC_000023.11, read on the forward strand.
TGTGGGCAAATCAGGAGCTCCATCTCTCACCTCTCCCCTGACCCCTAACCATGCAAAGAACTGGAAACTCAAGGCACTGGGCATGCTACTGTATAGTCCATTACCTGAAACAACAGAGAGCACCATGCTGTAAGCAAACATCAGGTACATACCATCTGCCTGTGCCACAGTTGGCTCTTACTCATAAAATCCATTGATTGGCCTGTAGGTCAAACTGCAGAGCTCAATATAAAACCTGCCAACAGAAGTGGCTATAGAAGCAAAACCAAAATACCCTAACCAGCATACTCCGCAGTCACACCACTTAGAGAGGGAGAAAAGGGAATTTATATATAGAAAAAAAAATCCTTATCTTTATCAAAATAATTACACAAATTAGAAGTGCCAGCCTCTCCAGATGAGAAGGAACCAGTATAAGAAATCTGGCACCATGAAAAATATGGATGCTGCAACACTAACAAAAAATTACTCTAGTTCTCTAGCAATGGACTCTAACCAAAGTGGAAACTTAGAAGTGACAGATAAAGAAATCAGAGCATGGATTATAAGGAAGCACAACAGGATCCAAGACAAGTTGGAAAATCAACACGAAGAAACATCTAAAACAATCCACCTAATCACGTGGATCACCAATTGAACTCTCAGGTGGTGGGCAGGTATAACACTTAGGTGGATTAATAAGAGGTAAACATCTTAAAAACAAATAAATCAAAGCTTCTGGCAGTGAAAAACTCACTTAAAAATTTCAAAATACAATTGAAAGCTTTATCAATAGGCTAGAGCAAGCAGAAGAAAATAATTTTGGAGCTTCAAGACAGATCTTTTGAACAAACCCAGTCAGACAAATTAAAGAAAACATAATTTAAAACAATGAACAAAGCCTCCAACAAATATGAGCTTATGTAAAACAACCAAACCTATGAATTATTGACATTCCTGAGAGAAGTAAATAACGTGGAAAACATATTTGAGGGAATATTTCAAGAAAATTTTGCTAACCTTGCTAGACATCCAGATACAAAAAATCCAGAGAACACCTCCCAGATACTATACAAATGAATATCACCAGAGCATCCAGTCACCAGGCTCTCCAAGGCCATGCTAAAGAAAAAATTATAAAGGCAGCTAGAGAATAAGGTAAGATCACCTACAAAGGGAACCCCATAAGGTTAACAGTGGCATTCTTAGCAAAAACCTTACAAGTCAGACTAGATTGATGGTGAATTTTCAGCATTCTTAAGGAAAAGAAATTACAATCAAGAATTTTGTATCCCACTTTATTAAGCTTCATAAACAAAGGAGAAATAAAATATTTTCCATATAAGTAACCACTGAGAAATTTCGTTACCACAGACCAGTCTCACAAGAGATCCTTAAGGGAATTCTAAACATGAAAACAAAAGAACAATATCTGCTACCAGAAAGAAAAAAAATAAAAAAAGAACTTAAGTACACAGCCCAAGGATGCTACAAAGCTACTTCATAATTGAGACTACAAAGCAATCAGCTAACAACTTCATGATAAAATCAAAACCTCATTTATCAACATTAATCTTGAATGTAAATATTCTAATTTCCCCCCCCAAAAAGCACATGCTAAAGTAAAATAAAAAAATAAAAAAAAATAAAAACAAAAAACAACACCCATTAACAGCTGTCTTCAAGAGACTCATGTCACATGTAACAGCACCCATAGGCTAAAAGTAAAAGGTTGGAGAAAAATCTATCATTCAAACCAAAAACAGTAACAAAAAGAGCACGGATCACTATATAGGAGATCAAATAAACTTTAAGCCAATGACAAAAAAATAAAAACACAAAGAAATGCATTACATAATAGTAAAAAGTTCAATACAAAAAGAAGATTCAAATATCTTAAATATATCCAATACTGGAGCATCCAGATTCATAAAACAACTACATCTAGATGTCTGAAAAGACATAGGCAGTCACACAATATTAGTGGAGGACGTTGAAACCCCATGGACAGCATTACAAAGACCATGGAGGAAGAAATCTAACAAATAAATTCTGAACATAAATTTGAGACTTTACCAATTTGACCTAATAAGCATCTACAGAACACTTCACTCATCAAGTCAAAGAATATATGTTCTTGTTACTTGCACATGGAGCATACTCCAAAGTCAATCAAATGCTTGGCCATAAAGGAAGTCTCAACAATTTTTTTTTAAATAATGTCATATTAACCATACTTTCAGAGCACAGTGGAATAAAAGTAAAAATCAGTATGAAAAATATCTCTCAGACACACAGAATTACATAGAAATTTAAAAACTTGCTTTGGAATGACTTTTTGGTAAGCAGCGAAATTAAGGCAGAAATAAAAAAAAATGAAATAAATGAAAACAAAAACACAACATAACAAAATCTCCAGAAGGCAGAAAAAGTACTGTTAAGAAAAAAGTCTATACTGCTCAATGCTTACATGAAGAATCTAGAAAGACCTCAGATTAACAATCTAGAATCATACATAGAGGAACTAGAAAACCAATAACAGACTGACCCCAAAGTTAGCAGAAGAAAAGAAATAACTAAAATCAGAGCAAAACTGATAGAAGCTAAGACCCAAAAATCCATGCAAAGTATGAATGAAACCAAAAGCTGGCTCCAAGAAAGAATGCACAAAATCAATTAATAGCCAGTTAGACTGAAACAGAAAAAAGAAAAAAGAGGTAAGGTACAAATAAGCACAATTAGAAATGACAAATGTGACATTACTGCTGATTGCACAGAAATACAATAGATTATCAGAGAATATTACCAACAGCTCTATGTACATAAATTAGAAAATCTAGAGAAAATAGATACATTCCTGGAAATATACAACTTCCCAAGATTGAATCAGGAAGAAATTGAAAACCTGAACAGATTAATATTGATTTCTTACACTGAATATGTAATAAAAAATTCTGCCAAGCAATAAAAGTTTTTCCCACAGTAGATGGATTCACAGCCAAATTCTACCAGACAAACAAAGAACTGGTGCCAATTCTACTGAAACTATTCTTAAAAATTCAGGAGGAAAACTCCTCCCTGACTCATTCTACAAAGCCACCACCATCTTGATATAAAAACTGGCAAAGACACAATGAAAAAGGAATACTACAGGCCAACATCCCTGAAAACATAGATGAAAATTATTCAATAAAATACCAGCAAACCGAATCTAGCAGCATGTTGAAATTTAGTATAGCACATCAAAAAGGGTTTATTTCAGGGACACATGTTTGGCTTAACATATGCAAATCAATAACTGTGATTCACCACAGAAACAGAATTAGAAACAAAAATTATATGATTATTTCAATAGACACAGAAAGAGCTTGTAAAAGAATCCAACATCCCTTCATGATGAAAAGCCCTCAACAAATCAAGAAAGCTGGCAAGGAACATACCTCAAAATAATAAGAGTCATCTATGACACACTCACTGCCAACATCATATTGAATGGACAAAATCTGGAAGCAGACCCCTTAAAAACAAGAAGAAGGCTTGTATGCCCACCCTCATCACTCCTATTCACCATTGTACTAGAAGTACCAGCCGTAGAAATCAGGAAAGAGAAAGAAATAAATGGCATCCAAATAGAAAAAGAAGAAGTCAAACTGCCTCTTTGTTGATGATGATTCTATAATTAGAAGACCCTAAAGACTCCACCAAACACTACTAGAACAGATAAACAATAAAACTAATGTACAAAAATCAGTAGCATTTCCATACATCAATAATGTCCAGGCTGAGAGTCAAATCAATAATGCAATCTCATTTACAGTAGCCACAAAGAAAATGAAATACCTACGAATATAGCTAACAAAGAAGGTGAAAGACCTCTACGAGGAGAACTACAAAACACTGCTGAAAAAAGTTAGAATTGACACAAATATATGCAAAAGCATTCCATGTTCACGGATTGGAAGAGTAAGTACAATTAAAATGTCCACATCACCTAAAGCAATGTACAGATTCAATACTAGTCCTATCAAACTACCAATGTAATTCTTCACAGAACATGAAAAAACTATCCTACAATTAATGTGGAAGTGAAAAAGAAGCAGAGTAGCCAAAACAATCGTAAGGAAAAAGAATAAAGCCAAAGACATCCCACTTCAAAAGATATTATATTATGTCATATATATATGTATATATATAAATATATATTCAAGTTTTATTATACACGACTTCAAACAATATTATAATGCTACAGTAACCAAAACAGCATAGTACTGGTACAGAAACACACATAGAAACCAATGGAACTTAATAGGATAATAAGAAATAAAGCTGCACATCTACAACCATCTGATTTTCAACAAGTCTGATAAAAACAATTTATTGGGAAAGGACTCCCCATTTGATACATGGTGCTGGGATAACTGGCTAGCCGTATGTAAAATAACGAAACTAGACCCCTACCTCTCCCCATATACAAAAATTAAGTCAAGATGCATTAAATAATTAAATGTAAAATGTTAAAATATGAAAATCCTAGAAGGAAACATAGGAAATAGTATTCTGGACATCATCCTTGGGGAATAATTTATTGCTAAGTCCCCAAAAGCAATTGCAACAAAAACAAAAATGGACAAATGGGACAAAATTAAGCTAAAAAGTTTCTGCACAGCAAAAGAAACTATCAGTATAATAAACGGACAACCTACAGAGTGGGAAAAAATACTCACAAACTATGCACCTGATAAAGGTTTAATATCCAGAATCTTTAAGGAACTTAAACAATTCAACAAGCAAAAAGCAAATAACCTGATTAAAAAGCAAACAAAGGACACAAATAGACACTTCTCAAAAGAAGACATATAAGCAGCTAATGAAAATGTTAAAACAATGCTCAACATTACAAGTTATCAGAGAAATACAATTCAAAAAGACAATGAGATACCATCTCACACACCATCCGAATGGCTACTATTCAAAAGTCAAAAAACAATAGATATTGGAAAGGCTGCACAGAAGAGGGAACAGTAACACATTGTTGGAGGGAATGTAAATTAGTTCAGCCATGTGGAAAGCAGTTTGGAGTTGCTCAAAGAACTTAAAATAGAACTATCATTTGACCCAACAATTCCATTACTGGGTATATGCCCATAGGAAAATATATAATTCTACCAAAGACACAAGCACTGATGTTGTTCATTGTAGCACTATTTTTAATAGCAAAGATGTGGAATCAACCTGGGTTCCCATCAATGGTGAATTAGCTGAAGAAAGTATGATACATATACATCATGGAATACTAAAAATCTGTATTATCCAGGGTTCTCTAGAGGGACAGAACTAATAGGATAGATGTATATATAAAGGGGAGCTTAGTTAGGAGCACTGACTCACACAATCAAAAGGTGAGGTCCCACAATAGGCCGTCTGCAAGTTGAGGAGAAAGGAAGCTAGTCCGAGTCCGAAAGCTGAAGAACTTGGATTCTGATGTTTTAGGGCAGGAAGCATCCAGCGTGGGAGAAAGATGGAGGCCAGAAGATTAAACCAGTCTAGTCTTTCCACGTTCTTCTACCTGCTTTTATCCTAAGCCATGCGGGCAGCTGATTAGATGGTGCCCACTCAGACTGAAGTTGGGTCTGCCTCTCCCAGTCCACTGACTCAAATGTTAATCTCCTTTGGCAACATCCTCACAGACAAACCCAGAAACAATACTTAGCATCATTCAATCCAGTCAAGGTGACACTCAATATTAACCATCACACCAGCTATAAAAAGTAATTCAATAATGTTATCTGCAGTAACATGGATGCAATGGGGGGGCCATTATCCTAAGCGAATTAATCCAGTAACAGAAAACCAAATACCACATATTTGCACTTACAAATGGGAGCTAGACATTTGGTACACAAGGACATAAAGATGGGAACAATGCAGACTGTGGTCTACTGAAGGTGGGAGAGAGGAAAGAGCGGAAGGCCTGAAAATCTACCTATTGGGTAGTATGCTCGCTACTTAGGTGATGGGATCAATTATACCACAAACCTGAGCATCATGCAATATACCCATGTAACAAACCTGCACATGTAACCCCAAATCTAAAATAAAGTTGAAAGTTAAAAAATAAACTATTTTGATAACTTTCAGAAAAATGTGGAATTTCAATGCTTAATATCTTAGCAGATAAGACTGTCAAGAATTGTAAGATAATTAATAGAAAAGTTTGACAGTATAAATATAATTTCATTTATCATATTACAAACTGAATGTCTGTTTCTATGGATCTATGCTAAACAACCCAGCTGGGACTGAGTAGGTGCATCTCTATTATTTTATCTTCACGCGTAACATTGTGTTACCTATAAGACAGTAAAACCATAGGGGTGAATCTCCAACTGTTTAAAAATCTATATGACAAATTGTAAACATAACTAAAACAATACCAAAGATTGGCTAAAATTATACATATCTCATATGGAAAATGAAAAGCATAACTAACATTTTATCCCTTGTAAATTTAGGAAAATATTTTAAATTTAATACATTAAATTTCATAGGAAAATAATCATAGATAAATTTAAGCAGCATTAATTCTTACAATGGTGTGTTGGATATTGAGATTTACTTTAATATTTAAACCTGATCTTTGATAATTTAAAAAAAATGAACACAAAACACGTATGTCAAACAGTTCTCAAATTGATCTTAGTGTTATATAGTAAATAAAAAAACCAATCAACTTTCATTAACCACATATAATTCACATGGATGCAGCCTTATATTTTGTGCTACCTTATTATTTCTAGCGGAGAAAATAATGTAGATAAATGATAACATTTTAATTGCTATGTATGTCTTCTAATAATGTCAAAATGAAAAATTTAGAAATGATTCTCAAAAATATATCAGAGATATTGAATGAACTGAAGTAGTTAAAATAATGATTTATGATATGGTTGCTTGGTAATCATATATTTTGCGTGTAGCTAATGAATAATAACATTGCATTTAATCTTCAGAAATAATTCCCTTGCAATATATTGGTATCTATTTAGGCAAGATTCTATCTTACTTTTTTAAAGACTGATAATGTCCTCTACATGAGATTTCCTCATGCAATATTATCAACTTTTAAGACATATTACAGCAAGTGAGAGGGATGATGGGTTGTAAAATGAATGTTGATAAGTGGAAACCATCCTTTTGGCAGTACTGTAAATAGGAACGAGAATGTGAAATTCATAGTACATGTGGATCTCCATCTTTTTAGTGATCAAAACAACTGTTTTAACTTTAACAGTAAACATAGTCCTAGGCTTTGAAAACTTGAAATAAATCAGATCTCACTATATAATTCTCCACATATTGCCAGTTACTTACTCTTCATTTCCTTAATTTAGTTGCCAGACCTTTGTCATTAATACAACTTATTTTTATAAAAGCCAATGGGTAACTTTCACATGGAAGCACATGCTGGCCTACACAAGATTCTAGTCCACAGTTAATTTATGAACCTCTCTACTCCCATGTAAGTTAGTTTTATCCAGGGGTTCTTAAAGCTTGAAGATATCCTCAGGGAAAAAGATGATTATAATCTTCATTTGAAGAAAATGTTAATAGGAGTATTTTACTTTAAGGCTGACAATGATGACCTCCTTAAAAAATAAGCAGCAAAGTCTCATCCTAACTTGTTATCTTGGCCTGTCACCAGCAGAAAATTTGCCAAGTGGGAGATATTTGGTTTCTTTTCTTTGTGTGGCTTTCCCAGCTACCTTTCATTCAGTTAAAGAATAATGCATTCAGCCAGCCAGCCTGAAGGTTTTGTGGAATGTTTGCATTCCTAACTTTACAAGAAATGAGGACTCCAGGATGGTTAGAAAGCCCTCTAGGGAAGTTGGAAAAACTATCTTTCCGAGACAGCTGCTCTATGTCCCTCTATCTGTCACCCTTATCACTGCCACCTGTCTAAATCCTTCATGGTTCTTGTTATCTTATCCTAAGCCATGCTGGCAGCTGATTAGATGGTGCCCACCCAGATTGAAGTTTGGTCTGCCTCTTCCAGTCCACTGACTCAAATGTTAACCTCCTTTGGCAACACCCTCGCAGACACACCCAGAAACAATACTTTGCATCCTTCAATCCAATCAACAGCCTTTAAACTACACTTTACTACATTTTACTCTCTCTCTCTCTCTCTCTCTTTCTCCGTGTGTGTGTGTGGGTTGGGGGTGGTGAGGGGGTGTGGGTCTGTGCAAGAAATAATCCCTGCTATTATTAAGAAGGACTACATCTTATATAATGTTCTATTCTTCACAAAACATTACACAGTACATGACAAACAGAAAGTATGCAAAGAACTATGTCTTCTCTCAACTAATAATTTTTAGGACTTGATAGTATATTATTTTTATTTGACTTATATGTGTGTATCTTATTTTCTTAATTATTAATGGGTTCCACAAGGGCAAACACCATATCCTATGCTTCCTTTTATATCCAGAGGTCTCACATAAAACTGTTTACAGATAAGGTGCTTGAAAATGATATACTGCTTTTTTTAATGATGTGCCAGATATTATATGCTTTATGTGTTTTATATCTTAACAACAAACTTATAAGTTAGGCATTATTATTATCACTATTTTAATGGTATGAAAACTGACATTTAGAATTTTTCAAAGTCATAAGCTTGTAAATAGAATGAGATATAAATTCAGCTCATTGTAAGCTAATTGTAAATGATTTCAGGCTGCAATAAACTTGCCTGGAGAGAGATGACTTTCTGACATTCGTGATATAACATTACTCAAGTTGTCACCTATTTATTTGCATCTATGATTAGCTGGAAGCCCTGGATAGGAAGTCAGTCCTCCCTAAAGAACAGTACTAAACATCTATTAGTAGTACTTCCAAACAACAAATAGACTCCTGGAATTTTAGAATTGGAAGTGATCTTAGAAATTATCTAGTGCAAACTGTAATGAGCATGATTAACTTCATTTTCCATCCAGTGCTCTTTTCATTACACCAGGCTCATTTTCTTCCTTACCAAATCTGTTTTTCCATCTATAGTGACCAGCACATTAACTAAAACACAGTTGGCTTTCAGTAAACATTTACGGAATGAATTTTACAAATGAGGAAATTGATGTTCAAAAAGGGGAATTGACTTACCTAAGCTCACAGAACTAGTGACTAGCAGCAACTAAAACTTACAATTTCCTGTCTCTCTGTCCAATGTTCTACCCACTATTTCCTGATGATTTAGTTACTTCAGGATATATCTAATATTTGTTATTAATACATGTGTGTAAAAAGCAAAGATCAGATCTGGAGCTAATGTCCCATAAACTTGAAATGATTCTTAGCAAATCACTTAATTGTTTAACATTTCTGTTGTCCTTGTAATAAATCACTTGTTTGAGTAAGGGCATCTCCAAGTCATCAAAAGTCTATGTGCTTATCAATAAGAGGGAAAACAAGTTTGCATTTGTGACTTTTATAAATATGCACTTTCTAGCAAACACTTAGAGTCATGGAACTTTTTTTTAAAAAAAATATTGATGTCTAGTTGTCAACAAGGTGCTAAAATATTCTTCAAGTTAGCAGATGTTTTAATAATGAGAATGTAAAAATGAATCTCATTGATGATGGTGATAAATACTATTCTAGGCCCTTTCTGTACTGTATATTAAAAATACTATTTAGAATAGTACTTACTGGAAATAAATAATTAATAAAAATAGGGAATCAGAAAATCTCAAATAATTAGAGTTAAATGCATTTATTTCTATTTTTTAATATGGGGTTAGATAGGATGAAAAAACTAGTGTTACACTTACGTGAAAAAAAACAGAAAATAAGATGAGACCATATTTTACATATTAACTTTTGGTTGTCACCAGCATATGACAAAGTCTTGTTGAGCAAGAATCATTGAGGCACAGAAAGAAAAAAAGAAAAATGTTGATCCACAGCTTATCCCCATCCGTTATTGGTTAGCCATTCCCATCCATATTCTCCTCTCATGGTATACAACTGCTCACAGCAGCTAGCAACTGAAAAAATTGAAAAATTTTATCTGTAGCTCATTTCCTGTTTGGCCACTGTTAAGCCCAAGGGTTCTCAAACTAGTGTATACTATAGAATTATCTGGGGACATTTTTTAAAATGTAGTTTTCTGGCCTTCACTGCTCAGATAATTTGAGTTAATATGTCTGGATCTAGTAATTCACACATCTAATATTATTATTTTAAACTTGCTTTATATTATATGGTGAAAATATACATATGAAGACTGACGTTTGGAGAATATATCTGTTATATAGTCAAGAGACTGGGAGAAATATTGAAAGCTATCTTTACATTGACCAAATACATTAATCATATAGTCACATTCCTTTGGTCTCTGCTAATATATATCACTTGGAGCTGTACTGCAGTTTCCAGCGTTTTTTAAAATATAATTTCCTTAATAGCCATCAAAGATTTAAAAAACTATACAAGTATTCAGAAATCATATTTAGATGACTTAAAAGAAGAATTTGTTGAGTCTTCCTGAAGCATTTAGAAACACCTACTTACATGATAAATATTATCCTATTAATTCAATTGATCTCCCTAAGGACTTCTCATGGGCAATGCATTTTCAAAGTATAGTTTAAATAACTATGTACTTGAAAGTAATACAACTAAATTTTTAAAAATATCTATTTTAGTCTTAGGTTTCCTGCCGTTCAATCTGGCCTTATCCTGTATTCCTTGGAATAAGTAAGGCTAGGCTTTTCAAATCTTATCTTCCTAGTCACACCACATTGAAAATTTTAAACAGTGGAGATGACCTGGCTGCAGTATTTTCAATGCATCTCTGTTCCATAGACACTTGTTGTCCAGTCAAACTAGCCTAAGTGAAAAACATAAATTATGCCACTTTTGGGTCTCAACTCACTGGCTGTGAGCATGGAAAGAGGCCATATTATAATTTTTAACCCAAAGTTATGGTATGATGCTTCTCTAAGTTTTTTTTTTTTTCCTAGCAGAACATATAGAAGAAATATATAACCTTAAAGAAAATAAAACTTTTAGACTATATTTATATATACCTTCATTGGCCAACTGGTTAACTGATATTATCCTTTTTAGAGCGCTAATTCCTCAGTCACATTGCACAAAGTCTAATGGCTCCTTCTTGGGTCCTTCCTCAATTCAGAACCGTCAATCAAAGATATATATTGAGCTTACTATAAGCCAAATGCTGAGGACTTATCCTTCATTTTTAAATTTCTGATATTTAAAGTAGTTTTTTCCAATTCTGTGAAGAAAGTCATTGGTAGCTTGATGGGGATGGCATTGAATCTATAAATTACCTTGGGCAGTATGGTCATTTTCAGGATATTGATTCTTCCTACCCATGAGCAAGGAATGTTCTTCTATTTGTTTGTATCCTCTTTTTTTATTAATTTTACATTTTATTAATCTGTTATGTTTAAGTAATAATCGCTTTCACAGATACTTCTAATTATGCTGTACTTTAAACATTTTAAGTCTATCATGCCATTGACTTATTTATTCTATGTACAGCAAAGGCTAACTGGATGGTCAACTTCTTAGTTCAAAACGAGAATGCATCATTGGCTAACGATTTGTAGTCTCTAAAGCTTGTATTAACATAAACATGTAGCAATGTCCTAACCTCATCTTGCACTACCATAGGTTACTGGAAAGTGGAAAAGATTTGCACAGCATCCCTGCTCTCGGAGGATACCCACCCCGTTTGTATCCTCTTTTATTTCATTGAGCAGTGGTTTGTAGTTCTCCTTGAAGAGGTCCTTCACATCCCTTGTAAGTTGGATTCCTAGGTATTTTATTCTCTTTGAAGCAATTGTGAATGGGAGTTCACTCATGATTTGGCTCTCTGTTTGTCTGTTATTGGTGTATAAGAATGCTTGTGATTTTTGCACATTGATTTTGTATCCTGAGACTTTGCTGAAGTGGCCTATCTGTGTAAGGAGATTTTGGGCTGAGATGATGGGGTTTTCTAGATATACAATCATGTCGTCTGCAAACAGGGACAATTTGACTTCCTCTTTTCCTAATTGAATACCCTTTATTTCTTTCTCCTCCCTGGTTGCCCTAGCCAGAACTTCCAACACTATGTTGAATAGGAGTGGTGAGAGAGGACATCCCTGTCTTGTGCCAGTTTTCAAAGGGAATGCTTCTGGTTTTTGCCCATTCAGTATGATAATGGCTGTGGGTTTGTCATAAATAACTCTTATTATTTTGAGATACATCCCATCAATACCTAATTTATTGAGAGTTTTTAGCATGAAGGGCTGTTGAATTTTGTCAAAGGCCTTTTCTGCATCTGTTGAGATAATCATGTGGATTTTGTCGTTGGTTCTGTTTATATGCTGGATTACATTTATTGATTTGCGTATGTTGAACCAGCCTTGCATCCCAGGGATGTAGCCCACTTGATCATGGTGGATAAGCTTTCTGATGTGCTGCTGGATTCGGTTTTCCAGTATTTTATTGAGGATTTTTGCATCGATGTTCATCAGGGATATTGGTCTAAAATTCTCTTTTTTGGTTGTGTCTCTGCCAGGCTTTGGTATCAGGATGATGCTAGCCTCATAAAATGAGTTAGAGAAGATTCCCTCTTTTTCTATTGATTGGAATAGTTTCAGAAGGAATGGTACCAGCTCCCCCTTGTACCTCTGGTAGAATTCGGCTGTGAATCCGTCTGGTCCTGGACATTTTTTGTTGGTAAGCTATTAATTATTGACTCAATTTCAGAGCCTGTTATTGGTCTATTCAGAGATTCAACTTCTTCTTGGTTTAGTCTTGGGAGAGTGTATGTGTCGAGGAATTTATCCATTTCTTCTAGATTTTCTAGTTTATTTGCATAGAGGTGTTTATAGTATTCTCTGACGGTAGTTTGTATTTCTGTGGGATCAGTGGTGATAGCCCCTTTATCTTTTTTTTATTACTTCTTTTTTTTATTATACTTTTAGGTTTTAGGGTACATGTGCACATTGTGCAGGTTAGTTACCTATGTATACATGTGCCATGCTGGTGCGCTGCACCCACTAACTCGTCATCTAGCATTAGATATATCTCCCGATGCTATCCCTGCCCCCTCCCACCACCCCACAACAGTCCCCAGAGTGTGATATTCCCCTTCCTGTGTCCATGTGATCTCATTGTTCAGTTCCCACCTATGAGTGAGAATATGCGGTGTTTGGTTTTTTGTTCTTGCGATAGTTTACTGAGAATGATGATTTCCAATTTCATCCATGTCCCTACAAAGGACATGAACTCATCATTTTTTATGGCTGCATAGTATTCCATGGTGTATATGTGCCACATTTTCTTAATCCAGTCTATCATTGTTGGGCATTTGGGTTGGTTCCAAGTCTTTGCTATTGTGAATAATGCCGCAATAAACATACGGGTGCATGTGTCTTTATAGCAGCATGATTTATAGTCCTTTGGGTATATACCCAGTAGTGGGATGGCTGGGTCAAATGGTATTTCCAGTTCTAGATCCCTGAGGAGTCGCCACACTGACTTCCACAATGGTTGAACTAGTTTACAGTCCCACCAACAGTGTAAACGCATTTTTTATTGCATCTATTTGATTCTTCTCTCTTTTCTTCTTTATTAGTCTTGCTAGTGATCTATCAATTTTGTTGATCTTTTCAAAAAACCAGCTCCTGGATTCATTGATTTTTTGAAGGATTTTTTGTGTCTCTATTTCCTTCAGTTCTGCTCTGATCTTAGTTATTTCTTGCCTTCTGCTAGCTTTTGAATGTGTTTGCTCTTGCTTCTCTAGTTCTTTTAATTGTGATGTTAGGATGTCAATTTTAGATCTTTCCTGCTTTCTCTTGTAGGCATTTAGTGCTATAAATTTAGCTCTACACACTGCTTTGAATGTGTCCCAGAGATTCTGGTATGTTGTGTCTTTGTTCTCATTGGTTTCAAAGAACATCTTTATTTCTGCCTTCATTTCGTTATGTACCCAGTAGTCATTCAGGAGCAGGTTGTTCAGTTTCCATGTAGTTGAGCGGTTTTGAGTGAGTTTCTTAATTCTGAGTTCTAGTTTGATTGCACTGTGGTCTGAGAGACAGCTTGTTATAATTTCTGTTCTTTTACATTTGCTGAGGAGTGCTTTACTTCAAACTATGTGGTCAATTTTGGAATAGGTTTGGTATGGTGCTGAAAAGAATGTATATTCTGTTGATTTGGGGTGGAGAGTTCTATAGATGTCTATTAGGTCAGCTTGGTGCAGAGCTGAGTTCAATTCCTGGATATCCTTTTAACTTTCTGTCTTGTTGATCTGTTTAATGTTGACAGTGGGGTGTTAAAGTCTCCCATTATTATTGTGTGGGAGTCTAAGTCTCTTTGTAGGTTTCTAAGGACTTGCTTTATGAATCTGGGTGCTCCTGTATTGGGTGCATAGATATTTAGGATAGATAGCTCTCCTTGTTGAATTGATCCCTTTACCATTATGTAATGGCCTTCTTTTTCTCTTTTGATCTTTGTTGGTTTAACTCTGTTTTATCAGAGTCTAGGATTGCAACCCCTGCCTTTTTTTTGTTTCCAATTGCTTGGTAGATCTTCCTCCATCCCTTTATTTTGAGCCTATGTGTGTCTTTGCACGTGAGATGGGTTTCCTGAATACAGCACACTGATGGATTTTGACTCTTTATCCAATTTGCCTTTCTGTGTCTTTTAATTGGAGCATTTAACCCACTTACATTTAAGGTTAATATTGTTATGTGTGGATTTGATCCTGTCATTATGATGTTAGCTGGTTATTTTGCTCGTTAGTTGATGCAGTTTCTTCCTAGCCTCAGTGGTCTTTACAATTTGGCATGTTTTTGCAGTGGCTGGTACCGGTTGTTCCTTTCCATGTTTAGTGCTTCCTTCAGGAGCTCCTTTAGGGCAGGCCTGGTGGTGACAGAATCTCTCAGGATTTGCTTGTCTGTAAAGAATTTTATTTCTCCTTCACTTACGAATCTTAGTTTGGCTGGATATGAAATTCTGGGATGAAAATTCTTTTCTTTAAGAATGTTGAGTATTGACCCCCACTTTATTCTGGCTTGTAGAGTTTCTGCTGAGAGATCAGCTGTTAGTCTGATGGGCTTCCCAAAGCTGGAGGCATCACACTACCTGACTTCAAACTATACTACAAGGCTACAGTAACCAAAACAGCATGTTACTGGTACCAAAACAGAGATATAGACCAATGAAACAGAACAGAGGCCTCAGAAATAGTGCCGCATATCTACAACTGTCTGATCTTTGACAAACCTGACAAAAACAGGAAATGGGGAAAGGATTCCCTATTTAATAAATTGCACTGGGAAAACTGGCTAGCCATATGTAGAAAGCTGAAACTGGATCACTTCCTTACACCTTATACAAAAATTAATTCAAGGTGGGTTATGGATTTAAATGTTAGACATAAAACCATAAAAACCCTAGAAGAAAACCTAGGCAATACCATTCAGGACATAGGCATGAGCAAGGACTTCATGTCTAAAACACCAAAAGCAATGGCAACAAAAGCCAAAATTGACAAATGGGATCTAATTAAACTAAACAGCTTCTGCACGGCAAAAGAAGCTACCATCAGAGTGAACAGGCAACCGACAAAATGGGAGAAAATTTTTGCAGTCTACTCATCTGATAAAGGGCTAATATCCAGAATCTACACCCAAACAAATTTACAAGAAAAAAACAAACAACCCCATCAAAAAGTAGGCAAAGGATATGAACAGACACTTCTCAAAAGAAGACATTTATGCAGCCAACAGACACATGAAAAAATGCTCATCATCACTGGCCATCAGAGAAATGCAAATCAAAACCACAAGTGAGATACCATCTCACAACAGTTAAATGGCGATCATTAAAAAGTCAAGAAACAACAGGTGCTGGAGAGGATTTGGAGAAATAGGAACACTTTTACACTGTTGGTGGGACTGTAAACTAGTTCATCCATTGTGGAAGTCAGTGTGGCGATTCCCCAGGGATCTAGAACTAGAAATACCATTTGACCCAGCCATCCCATTACTGGTTATATACCTAAAGGATTATAAATCATGCTGCTATAAAGACACATGCACATGTATGTTTACTGCGGCACTATTCACAATAGCAAAGACTTGGAACCAACCCAAATGTCCAACAATGATAGACTAGATTAAGAAAATGTGGCACATATACACCATGGAATACTATGTAGCCATAAAAAATGATGAGTTCGTGTCCTTTTTAAGGACATGGATGAAGCTGGAAACCATCATTCTCAGTAAATTATAACAAGGACAAAAAACCAAACACTGCATATTCTCACTCATAGGTGGGAATTGAACAATGAGAACACATGGACACAGGAAGGGGAACATCACACAACAGGGCCTGTTGTGGGGTGGGGTGAGGGGGGAAGGATAGCATTAGGAGATATACCTAATGTTAAATGTTGAGTTAGTGGGTGCAGCACACCAACATGACACATGTATATATATGTAACAAACCTGCACGTTGTGCACATGTACCCTAAAACTTAAAGTATAATAAAAAAAGAAAAAAATTTTGATAGTTAAAATATTTTATTATGAAAACTCGAACATACACCATAATAAAGAAAACAGCATAATGATCATACACCTACACACCATCAAACTTCAAAAGTATCAACATTCTTACACTCTTTTTTTTTTTAACAATATAAAGTCTTGGTATTCACATTAGTCAATAAACCAGCAGCAATGGCATCACTTGGGAGCTTGTAAGAAATGCAGAATTTTAGCACCCCCCCCCCAGAAGTAATACATAAAAATGTGCATTTCAAAAAGATCTCTACTTGTGCACATTAAAATTTGAAATGCACTGGTACAAAGTAAATGCCAGAAAGCATACCTTATAAATGTGCTTCCTACTATGCAGATAACCTGTATTTCATTCTGTGTAGAATTCCATGCAAAATGAGATTTCGTTTGTAGAGTTAAAAAAATAAATATTTTGTTTTACAGTATAATGAAGATGTGAGACTATGAAGAAATATCTGTCATATACCATCATGAAGAATTATTTTGGCGGTGTTGGTTCTTTGGAGATGATCTACAATCTTCAGTTTGAATATACTAGTTTAGAGAGCATGAAATGTTATTATATAATGTTTTAAAGATGTGGACTTGGCTTCAAAAATAATAACTTATACAAGAATTCAAGGGAAAACATATCAACAATGTATATTAGATATGAAAATCTCAAGATTAGAGGACAATACTTTCTCTTGTAATTTTTTGTTTGGCCTAGCCAGCAACTGATTATTTTGAAACCAACTGAATAAGATCATACTTGACTTAGAATCAAACTTAAAATCATCCATTTTTTTCCCAAGATACAGTATTTGCCTTAGGAGGCTGCTCATAACTTTTTATACAAGTGTAAGAAGTTGCCAAGGTGGAATTAAAGTTAATAACATGGCAATGTTAAGTTTTGAAGCTTCAGGCCTTCATTTGATATATGCTTAATCATTTTAAAAAATATATTATTTTTAACAACTGACCAGAATTTTACCTAACTGATGAAATAATTGTGCACACTGAAGACACGGCTTCTCATCCTGGTTTGTCACTTTCTGCATTGCCATGGGGAAATTTCTTAACTTCACTTATTTCTTCATCATGATTATTGCTACTATATTAGTCAATATTAATTTAATACAGAACACCAAAGAGGTTAAGAAAATTAAGTTCTTTTTCTATTTTAAAAAATTTTCTCTCTCTTCATCAAGCCGCAAATTAAATTAATGGCAATCAATGAGTTTGGGTTTAAGATATATTAGAGTTGACACTTGATTAGGCACCATATCTATTTAACTAGCTATTTTTAGCACATGAGAATTCTTAAAATATTATATGAAAATAATAAGAAAAATTTCAATATGAATAGAGAACATTATTAGGAGTTCTGGTACATTACTTTTTCAGGCATGCCTGTTCATTGCTATAACCCTAGAACACATGTATATGAAGGGGCAACTGCTATTTGCTCTTAGTGATCCAATAATCC
This sequence comes from Homo sapiens, assembly GCF_000001405.40. Classification (NCBI taxonomy): domain Eukaryota; kingdom Metazoa; phylum Chordata; class Mammalia; order Primates; family Hominidae; genus Homo; species Homo sapiens. The sequence continues at coordinate 81,596,500 of NC_000023.11, forward strand.
AGGGATCTTATGAGCAAGCATACTTAAGAGGCTTTCACTTCCATCAATGAGCAAAGTAATTTTTGTGTCAATACAAATAGAGTACTATTTCAGGACTCATCAGGGAGCAAATTTACTCAATGAAATATTTACTAAGAACATTATATATCTGCAGTGATATACTTAACTAGGAAGGCTACAAAGAGGCTATTGGTTACAATCCAATAGCTCCAAAAGTTCCATGTTTTCCAAGAGCTTATTATTTATTTGGGGTCAAAGCATAAACACACTTCCAAGATATAAAAAAGGCAAGTATGCAGGTAATGTCATAAGGCAGTAGAATGTATATACCATGAGTATTGGTGGTAAATATTTAAAATATCAAAGGAAAGAGAGAGATAAATAATAACCAGGATGGTCATGTATAGTTTCTTGTTGGAAATGGAAGTTCAATTAAGCCCTCAATGATTAGAAGGATTTGGGCAGCAAGTTAAAAAGTAGAGTACATGAGGAGCATAAATAAAAATGTAGAAGTAAAAAATAACTTGGCATTTTCAAGGGATGATAGGTAGATCACCCTGACTTCCATGGAGAGCTAATGAGGAATGTAGTGGGAGAGCAGGTTGGAAGGTGGATTGGAGCCAGACTATAAAGAGCCATAAATAACCAATAATAGAAAACCACAAACCTGGGGATACAATGCCTTAATGGAAAGTATTTTTCAAAGAGCTGTACAAACTTCATCAAAGCATTAAAAAAATCCATTGTATTTGAATAATTTTACAACAAAAATAAGGACACCATTATTTACATTTTTCTACAATGAAAACACAGAAAACATACATATGAAAATGTTAGTAGTGAGGTCAGACTTCTGAGATGATAGCACAAGAAGCTCAGAGATGATGGAGTAAGGAGCTCAGAGGACCCTGTTATTGTCTGGGTGTTTATGTGTCCCCAAATTCATGGATTGAGATCCTAATCCCCAAGGTAATAATAATAAGAGGTGATGCCTTTAGGATGTGATTAGGTCATGAGGGTGGAGCCCTCATGAATGAGATTAGTGCTTTTATAAAAGAAGCCCAAAAGAGACACCTCACCCTTTCAACCATGCAAGAATACAGTGAGAAGGCTCCATTTATAAAACAAGAAAATTTCCCTCACCAGACAACAAATTTGCCGGCATCTTGATCTTGCACTTCCCAGCCTCTAGAATTGTAAGACTTAAATTTTCATGGTTTATACACTACACAGTCTATGGTATTTTGCTATGGAAGCCCAAACAGATGAAAACAGACACTTTTCCTAGCAAAAGAACAATTTAACTGACCAAATTCTTTTAAAAACACTCAAAATCTCTGAAAATAGTCCTGAGGGCAAACAATAGAGAATCATTCATGAAAGAATATCAAATCTTGGTAACAATATCATGAGTCTTTGGCATTTGAGCCACCACCCACTCGATTATACCTCCTTCCTCAGCTCTGTGTTATGGAAACTCTACCCTGTTTTTATGCAGCCTGTAAGATGGGGACTCCTTTTTTTTCTCAGCTCCAGTCTGGTGTTATGTTTTCATTCCAGAAGGAGCAGGCTGTTTGTTTGTCTTATTCCTTTCAGCCATGAGTTATAGAAGCTTTATTCTGGGTATGCGGCAGAAACTTGTTTTCCCTACCCTACCAGGCCTCATTAACTAATAGAAGTTCTACCAAGTACAGCAGGTTGAAAATACTGGGCCCTCTGAAGCTTACCGCACTATGCTAGTAGCGTAGAGTCTCCATGTTCAGGAAAGCAAGATGAGAAGACTAGGGGATGCCGCCTGTCCCCCAGAACCCACTCATAGAATGCGGGTGTCATTCAGGTCCCCTGCACCCAGCTCTAGTGCAAAGGTGTAGTGGTTTTGTCCAGGGAGAAAGGCAAGAGACACGCACAATAAGGTGAAAGTGCTCCATAAGTCTGCCTAAAAAAAAATAACTTCATAAGAAACAGAGATTGGAGAACTCCATGTCTAATATTGTCAAAAAATGTGAGATCTTTTTGGAGAACAGTTAAGAGAAGACTGGTACCTTCATAGTACAAGCAAAATAACAAAGTAGCCAGAAGTTTAATAAGAGATAATTAGGAAAGTGCTCTCTTGAGAGTACAGTAAGTTCTAGGAGTTGGGAAATCTGTACATATGTGTTAGGCTGTACTCACTTGGAAGCAATTGGAGCAAGATGAGAGGCAGACTTGGAAGCATTTCTTTTTGTTTTGTTTTGTTTTTGTTTTTGAGACAGAGTCTTGTTCTGTTGCCTAGGCTGGAGTGCAGTGGCATGATCGCGGCTCACTGCAACCTCTGCTTCCCGGGTTCAAGCGATTCTCCTGCCTCAGCCTCCTGAGTAGCTGGGATTACAGGTGTGCACCATCATGCCCGACTAATTTTTTGTATTTTTAGTAGAGATGGGGTTTCACCATGTTGGTCAGGCTGGTCTCAAACTCCTGACCTTGCGATCCACCCACCTTGGCCTCCTAAAGTGCTGGGATTACAGGCAAGAGCCACTGTGCCTGGCAGAAAGCATTTCTTGATACACGCAGACACATCAACAGAGAGCTGAAACTTTACTGGCATAAGAGACTTGAATGCAAACTATGACCAAACACTGACTAGACAGTAAGCTACTCTGACCCAAGGTTGACTTCTAGGAATCCAAATTTAAAAATAATATCACAGTAATCCCCAAAAGCTTAGAAGACTGTGTACACGCTGATGATTGCACTCTCTTAGCTGTGCTCAGAGAAGGAATCTCTAAGCTGCTACTACTTGTATGAATGTGGGGGAAAATACATTAACTTCCTGAACTAACAGCCTCCAAGCCAGACACACATATAATGGTAAACGGTAAAAATCTAATAGGCTAAGGGGACTTTATCACAACTTTTGCCCAGTAAGTGGCTTATGCTGTAACAAGAGTGACCCCTAAGTAGCCAGGTTAAGAAGAATAAAATACAAAAAAAAAAAAAAAAGAGCCAGGCTGTACACTGCAGGAAAAGTAGACTAATGAGGTTAGTTTACACACACACACACACACACACACACACACACACACACACAAACAAGCAAACAACAAAAATGACAATCCTTGGAGTGGGAATCAGAATCCAGAGTTTCAAGTTTGTTTTTACAATGTATTATCTAAAATGACTTGTTTTCAATAAAAATAACAGAATATACAAAGCAACAGGAAAGTGTAACCCAATCACAGAAAAAAAAAAAAAAGAACAGGTGACAGAAACTAACTTTGAAGGTGTTCAGGTAGTAAACTCAGCAGACAATGAATTCAAATTAGTTATTATAAATATATTTAAAGAACTGAAGTAAATCATGCTTAAATAAGTAGAGAAATGTGGATGATAATGTCTTATCAAATAGAGAATACCAACAGAAAGATATTAATTATCTTTGAAAATAGAAATTCTGGAGTTAAATTTCAATAGCCAAAATAAAAAAAAATTCACTACAGGACTCAATAGTAGATTTGATAAGTCAGAAGAAACAATCAAGAAAATTGAAGGTTGGGCTGTTGTGTAGAGTTGCATTGACCGGCCTGGATGCAGGGCTGTGCACCACCCACCCCAATGCCAGCTGCAGCTTTATCTCAGACTCTGGCTCCCACCTGGCATCTGGCATTCCAGACTAAGTGGACTTACACATGCACTTCTCACAGTCCTTGCTGTCCATAAAGCAGTTTCTGGACTGCGTATATGTGAGTGCTAGTGAAAAGGCATCATTTGTGCTTCTCCAGTAATACTTGCCTATTAAATTAGCAAATATAATAAAAAGAATAAGTCTTCTTTCACATAATCTTCTCAGGACATCATCAATTCAATTGGTACAAAGCTTGTATATACAGAGTCTTCAGGAGCATCTTGATTTTTAAGGACAAAAGCACTATGAGATGCTAAAACGATTCATTACTTTACAGATAACTGTGATATGGATCAGGAACTGACACAAAGACATCCTTTCTAAAATGGCCCAGAATGTGATTGAATAAGAAAGCTTTGGAGTAGATTCTGTCACCAGAGTGCTCAGTACTTTTTGAATCATTTTTACATGAGTTGCCTTTCAACTAGAATGTTACTCTATCTGCACTCTTTATTGTTTGGTGAAAAAGATGAAGTCTATCTCCTGAAAAACATATTGCAATCATAAATGCAAACTGCAGTGTAGACAAAATTATTAAATATGGCTATGAAAATGCCGCACATCTGTGTGATTTGTATTATATTGATTCTTCCAAATTCAAACATGAAGAAGTAAATGTAAAGCCATGAGGACAACCAATATAAGTGGGTTATATACCATCGTATCTCTTTCACCTGGTGTTTGAATTTTTCAAGAATGCAATGAGAACAACTATGGGCCATCATGTCAATGAAGTGTTTATCTCCCTATTCAAGTTTCTGTCACACTGGGTAATAAAGATTTGACTGTAAAATGAGTGACTGAGGAGGTAGTGTTCCTTTGAGGAAAACTGACAGACTCTTCATCTACATGTGTTCAACTGCACCACATCCTGGTGCTGAGATTTTCTGAGCTCTGGCTAGGTTTGGTTACAGATTGCCCATATCATGTCTTTATGCACAGTACTACCAAGGAGATCTAATGCTATATTCCTGGAGGGTTACAAAACAGACACCGCTATCTACATTAAAGCATTGCCAACAGAATCAATAGAAAGACTCCAAGTGTATAATAAAACTGCCTGGAAATATTACTACACTTTGAGGCTGATGACTGATGTGTTCCCAGCAGGGACCCAAAATACATGACAATTTTATACAGTTCTTAGATACACTTGGGATACCTGGACAATTCAAATGTGGTTACATTTGAAAGTGATGATGTCTAAAACTACATTACTCTGAATACTCCTTGTATTTTTTTTTACAATTAACTCTTTGGGTAGAATAAATGAAAATTAAATTCCATTTTTGCCTGTTAAATATCTTAAAGAATGAAACTGTACCTATTTTCACTATTTTTTTTCATAGTTAATTGAACATATTTTTAAACACCCATAGTTTTGATCAACTTTTCTCTTTATGGTAGACTTTAGAAGCATGGGAGTTTTTGAATTTCTACATAAAGCAGTGTAGTTTTTGGATATATATCCAAGAGACTAAAATCAATATGTTGAAGGCATATCTGCACTCCCATGTTGACTGCAGCATTACTCACAATAGTCAAGATATGAAATCAATCTAGTTGATGAGGGAATACAAAATGTGGTACATATATATACATATATATGTGTATATATATATATATATACACATATATGTGTATATATATATATATACACACACACACACACACACACAATGGAATTCTATTTTACCTTAACAATAATAAAGCTTATCATTTGAAACAACATGGATGAATCTGTAGGACATTATACTAAGCAAAATAAGTCAGGCACAGAAAGACAAATACCACACAGTCTCACTTACATGTGAAATCTAAAAATGTTGAACTCATAGAAGCAAAGAATAGAGTGACGGTTATCAGAAGCTTATCTGGGTGGGGTGTGTGGGAGGGAGGGAGTGAGGAGTTGTTGATCAAAGTTTTCAGGAATAGATTTTGAAATATATCACACATCAGGTTGACTATAATCAATAGTAATGCATTGTAAACTTTAAAATAACTGAGATGGGTTTTTCGTGTCTCTGTCTCCTTCAGTTCTGCTCTGATCTTAGTTATTTCTTGTCTTCTGCTAGCTTTTGCATTTGTTTGCTGTTGCTTCTCTAGTTCTTTCAATTTTGATGTTAGGGTGTCAATTTTAGATCTTTTCTGCTTTCTCTTGTGGCCATTTAGTGCTATAAATTTCCCTCTACACACTGCTTTAAATGTGTCCCAGAGATTCTGGTACATTGTGTCTTTGTTCTCATTGGCTTCAAAGAACATCTTTATTTCTGCCTTCATTTTGTTATTTACCCAGTAGTCATTCAGGAGCAGATTTTTCAGTTTCCACGTAGTCCTGCAGTTTTTAGTGAGTTTCTTAATCCTGAGTTCTAATTTGATTGCACTGTGGTCTGAAAGACTGTTTCTTATGATTTCCATTCTTTTACATTTGGTGAGGAGTGTTTTACTTCCAATTATGTGGTCAATTTTAGAATAAGTGCACTGAGGTGCTGAGAAGAATGCCTCAGAAATAACACCACACATCTACAACCATCTGATCTTTGACAAACCAGACACAAACAAACAATTGGGAAAAGATGCCCTCTTTAATAAATTGTGTTGGGAAAACTGGCTAGCCATATGCAGAAAACTGAAACTGGACCCCTTCCTTACACCTTATATGAAAATCAACTCGAGATGGATTAAAGATTTAAACGTTAGACCCCAAACCATAAAAACCCCAGAAGAAAACCTGGGCAATACCGTTCAGGACATAGGCATGGGCAAAGACTTCATGTCTAAAACACAATAAGTAATGGCAACAAAAGCCAAAATTGACAAATGGGATCTAATTAAACTAAAGAGCTTCTGCACAACAAAAGAAACTATCATCAGAGTGAACAGGCAACCTACAGAATGGGAGAAACTGTTTGCAACCTATCCATCTGACAAAGAACTAATATCCAGAATCTACAAACAAACAAATTTACAAGAAAAAAGCAAACAACCCCATCAAAAAGTGGGCAAAGGACATGAATAGACATTTCTCAAAAGAAGACATTTATGCAGCCAACAAACATAAAAAAATGCTCATCATCGCTGGTCATTAGGGAAATGCAAAGCAAAACCACAATGAGATACAATCTCACGCCAGCTAGAATGGCGATCATTAAAAGTTCAGGAAACAACAGATGCTGGAGAGGATGTGGAGAAATAGGAACACTTTTACACTGTTGGTGGAAGTGTAAATTAGTTCAACCATTGTGGAAGATAGTGTGGCTATTTCTCAGGGATCTAGAGCTAGAAATACCATTTGACCCAGCAATCCCATTACTGGGTATATACCCAAAGGATTATAAATCATTCTACTATAAAGACGCATGCACACGTATGTTTATTGCAGCACTATTCACAATAGCAAAGACTTGGAACCAACCCAAATATCCATCAATGATAGACTGGATAAAAAAAATTTTGCACATATACACCATGGAATACTATGCAGCTATAAGAAAGGATGAGTTCATGTCCTTTGCAGGGACATGGATGAAGCTGGGAGCCATCATTCTCAGCAAACTATCACAAGGACAGAAAACCAAACACTGCATGTTCTCACTCATAAGTGGGAGTTGAACATGGAGAACACATGGACACAGGGAGGGGAACATCACACACCAGGTCCTGTTGGGGGCTGGGGGCTAGGGGAGGGATAACGTTAGGAGAAATATCTAATGTAGGTGATGGTTTGATGGGTGCAGCAAACCACCATGGCACTTGTTTATCTATGTAACAAAACTGCACGTTCTGCACATGTACTCCAGGACTTAAAGTATAATAAAAATAAATAAATAAATAATATACAAAAAACAAAAAATAAAATAACTAAGAGAGTGAATTTCAAATGTCTCATAACAAAAAATAAGTGAATCGATGGATATGTTACCTAGCTTGGTTCAACCATTCCACATTGTATGTATATATAAAAACATCTTATTGTACTTCATAAACTTATACAGTTATGTCTAAATTAAAAATAGTATTAATTTTAAGGACAACTAACAGAGTAGGAGAATATACTTGCAAATTATATACATTCACGTGTTACTTAACAACGTTCTGAGAAGTACATTATTAGGCAATTTTTTCATGTAGAATGTATTATACTTACACAAACCTAGATAGTATAACCTACTACATTCCTAGGCTGTATGATATAGCCTATTGCTCCTAGGCTACAAACCAGCACAGCCTGTTATTGTGTTGAATACTACAGGCAATTGTAATAACACAATGATATTTGTGTATCTAAATATATCTAAACATAGAAAGGGTGCAGTAAAAATGCAATATAAAAGATTTAAAAAATGGTACACCTTCACAGGGTATTTACTATGAATGGAGCTTGCACAACTAGAAGTTGCTCTGAGTGAGTCAGTGAATGGCAAGTGCATTTGAAGGGCTAAAATGTTATTGTTTACTATTATAGACTTTATACATAGAGTACATGTAGGCTATACTAAATTTATAAAACTATTATTTCTTCAAAAATAAATTAACTTCACTTAATGTAACATTTTATTTTCTATACTTTTCTAAATTTTTTAAACTTTTTGACTTTTTATGTGCAAACTTTTCAGCTGTGCAAACAAATTTTTCAGCTCTTTTATAATCTTATGTGACCACCATCATACATGCAGTCCACCATTCAACAAAACATTATTAAGTGACGTATGACTGTTTCTCATAAGGGAGTTTTATTCAGACTATATAAAGAACTCTTGAAATTCACAAATAAAAAGACAAATAACCCATTAAAATGTAAAAATGATTTAAACAGACATATGGCTAAAGAAGATATACAAATGGTAAATAAGGGCATGAAAAGTTGCTAAACATTATTAGCCATCAGGGAAATAAAAATCATAACTATGATGTGATATTACTCCATACCCACTAATCACTAATAAGGATACAAACAAATAAACAGATGATAACAAGTGTTGGGGAGAATGTAGCTTTGAAAAAGAGCCTGACAATTCCTCAATAGGTTAAACACAAAATAATCATTTTAACACCATTTCTACTTCTCGCCATTTACCTAAGAGAAATTAAAACATAAGTCACGTAAAACTTTACACCTTATTATACATAGCAGCATTATTCATAATAGATAAAAGAGGAGCAATACAAATGTCTATCCACTGATGAATGGATAAAAATATGGTATTTATGTATAATGGAATATTATATAACAATAAAAATAATGAAGCATTGACAATATAAAAATATGTATGAATCTTTAAAACATTATGGTAAATGAAAGAAGTCATTCACAAAATATCTCATAATATGTGACTCCATTTATATGACATATCCTGAAATGGGGTATCCATAGAGACAGAAAGTAGATTGGTAATTATTTAACTTTGAGGGAGGTTAGTGGAGAATGACTGCTATTGGATATGAGGTTTCATTTTAGAGACAATGTTCAAAAAGTATATAATGGTGATGGTTGCACAACAATACACATACTAAAAGCCATTGAATCCAACTCTTTAAATAAGTGAATTGTATGGCATGTAAATTATATTTGAATACAGTAATAAAAATATTAGTAATAAATTTCCATGTCACAAAATTTACAAACAAAATCTATTTTCATAATATTTTATAATTATTGAATATTTGTGTAATAAAAATCATTTCTATCCACATCAGCATTCACATGCATTGTTTTTATATCATTGTAGGTAGCCTCTCTTATTTTGAGCACAATTATTTTATTATGTCTTTATATCCAGTTCTCACATTGGTATAGCTCCTAAATATGTCATTCTTTAGCTAATAACCCAAAATTACTTTATATTAACGTGTCATTATTGGTTTGACCTTCATTTATTGTCAGTCCTTTTTATTGTTCTGTTTTCTAATTTTCTCTCTCTATATATATTTATATAAATGATTACAAAAATATTTCCAAATAAAATATTGTTTCCCACTGATACTTTTCCTTCGCATATTTGTGCCCCACAGTTGACTATACATCATCACTGTTTTTAAACATTATCGTTTTTGGTGAATAAGCCAGATTGACACCCCCCACATGTCAGATGTATGAATTAAAACTAGGGAGGATAAAGTATGTCAAATGGAGTCGGAATAGAAATATGAAGAGATAAACACTGAAATTCCTTTTCATTAATAATTCATATTGTTATAGCATAGGAAAATCTTAATTCTTTTCTTCAATGTTAATTATAAAGCATTTATTATAGTAGAATCATTTCATATTCATAATGCAGTAATAATTCAATGGGAATTCTTAGTAATTTAAATGGAGACAAGTGTTCACTTATTATGAAGTATTACTGCTGACTAGAAAACACTTTAATGTAAGTGGTCATTCCATTAATGTGTTTAACATTCTCAATATATCATTATTAATCATGACATGACACTGGAATTAATACATGCCTTTTTCATGGACTTATAGAATTAATGAAATGCTTTTTCATAGACTGATGGAATCAGAGAACATTACCATTAGTGGAGGCCTTAGGGGTTATCTAGTTAAACTCCCTACATGATTGTTGTATGAATCTCTAAAATACGTTGACAAGTAGCCTTCAAGCCTACTCTTAAAAAACTCTATTGAAGGGGGCTTGCATTCTTTCATTAGGTGACCAATTGTAATATCAGACAGCTATAATTGCAGCACGCTTTTATTCTTTTTATTGAATGAAAATCAGTCTTTCTGAGATGTCTGACCACAGGCTTTCATTCTGTCCTTTGGAGCCACACACAACAAGCTGGCCAATTCTATCTATGATAGCCCCTCAAGTGACTAATGAGCATTGTCATACATTCCTTCGCTCCCCATGCCTGCCATGTATTTCTATACCTAAATACTCTAATTTCATTCTGTTGTTTCTAACAGAATGATTTTTATTCTGTCCCTGGTTTAGTCATTCTTCTTTGAGTATGCTCTAATTTGCACATGGCTCTCTTAAAAACGTGGCACTCATAATTAACGTAGTACTACAGATGTGGCTTATCACTTTTCTTTTTTTGTGTACTCTATCTCTATCCATGCAGCCTAAAACGGCATTACCTTTTTAGTAAGCCTAAGGGACAACTAGCTTATATTTATTAATAGTTTATAGTCAGTCCCTTTAAATATCATGTTTTTGTATTATTTTTTATTTATCCATTTGCTTCTGAGTTTGTATGGTGCAAATGGCTTTTGAACTTAAGGATAAGGTGTTACATTTATCCGTGCTAAATTTCAATGTACTAGGTTCAACTCATTGCTAACACATTTTTTATTTTTTGCATCTTGTTTCTGTCATATAATATATCGACTACCATGACTACAGGCATCTGACATCCGAGCAGTAAATTTACTTTGACGTAGTTTGACTTGGGTCATATTGTGCATTATAATTTTTACAGTGCTATTGTACGCTCTTGTTAATTTGGCTTGTTCCTTATTTGAAAAATAAAGTGAGAATGGTAATACTGTACTATATTGCCAAATGTGTAACATTTGTCCCTGTAGTGTTTGAGGGACGTTTAGGAAAGTGGAAATTTTTTACTTCTCCTTCTTTGCCAAAATATAAGTTCTTGTCCCAAATTTGTTCAGTACTTTTCTATATCACTGCCTCCACTTGTGACCTAGTCTCTATCTATAATTTCTTCTCTAGTGGTTGTACTAATTTACTCGATAAACCCATATTCATACTGTAAGGGCAAAATCAACTTTTAAAAGTTTTAGAATGCCTCTTTTGGAACCCTCAATTAGAATTAATATCTTCTTTCCCTTAGTCACTTACAGTAATATCCTTTGTACATTTTATGTCATTGAAACTGACTGCAATTCATTATAGATTCTTAGACATGTGTGTCCATTTCCATTAGATTGTAATTTCTTTAAAACTGGAGGCTTAATATTCCCCATAGCACTTTCCAGTTTTTTAATTTGTTTTATTCTTTGTTTTACATTTTTACTTTTTGTAGGTACATAGTAGGTGTACATATAGATGGGGTACATGAGATGACTTGATACAGGCATGCAATGTGTAATAAGCACATCATGAAGAATGGGATATTTATCCCCTCAAGCATTTATTACTGGAGTTACAAACAATTCAGTTACACGCTTTAAATTATTTTAAAATGTACGATGAAATTATTATTGACTATAGTCACCTTATCATGCTATCAAATGGCAGGTCTTATTCATTCTTTCTAACGATTTTTTGGTACACACTAACCGTCTCCACCTCTCCCCCAGCACCCTACTAGTAACCGTCCTCTGGTAACTATTTAATTTAATTGTTTTGATTTTTAAATACCAGAAATGTCAGAACACACAATGTTTTTCTTACTGTGCTTGGCTTATTTCACTTAATAATCTTCAGTTCGATCCATCTTGTGGCAAATGACAAGGTCTCATTCTTCTTTTAGGGCTGAATGGCACTCCGTTTTGTATATGTACCACATTTTCTTTATCCAGTCATATGTTGATGGACACCTGCATTTCTTCCAAAACTTAGCTATCGTAAACAGTGCTGCAACAAACATAGGGGTGCATATATCTCTTCGATACACTGATTTCCTTTCTTTTGGGTATATACCCAGCAGTAGCATTGATGGGTCATATAATAGCTCAAATTTTAGTTTTCTGATGAACCTCCAAACTGTTCTCCATAGTGGTTGTACTAATTTACATTCCCACCAACAGTGTACAAGGGTTCTCTTTTCTCCACATCCTTGCCAGCATTTGTTATTGCCTGTCTTTTGAATATAAACCATTTGTTAAAATGAGGTGAGATGATATCACATTATAGTTTTGATTTGCATTCCTCTGATGATCAATGATTTGGAGCACTTTTTCATATTCCTATTTGCCATTTGTCTGTTTCTTTTGAGAAAGTCTATTCTGATCTTTTGCCCATTTTTTGATCAGATTATTAAATTTTTCCTATAGAGTTGTTTGAGCTTCTTATATATTCTGGTTATTAATCCCTTGTCAGATGGGTAGTTTGCAAATATTTTCTCCCATTCTGTGAGTTGTCTTTTCCTTTTGTTGAGTGTATCTTTTGCTGTGCAGAAGCTTTTTAACTTGATGTGATTCCATTTGTCCATTTTTGCTTTGATTGCCTGTGCATGTAATGTATCAAGGTAGAAATTTTTGCCCCAACCAATGTCCTGCAGATTTTCCTCAGTCTTCTTGTAGTAGTTTTGTAGTTTTAGGTCTTACATTTAAGTCTTTAATCCATTTTGATTTTGTTTTTGTATATGATGAGAGATGGGGGCTAGATTCATTCTTCTGCATATCGATATTCAATTTTCTTAGCATCTTTTATTGAAGATATTTTATTTTTCCAGTTTATGTTCTTGGCATCTCTGTTTAAAATGAGTATACTGTGGGTATGTGGATTTATTTCTGCATTCTCTATTCTGCTTCATTGGTCTATGTGTCTGTTTTTTGTGCCAGTACCATGCTGTTTTGTTTACTATAGTTCTGTAGTATAATTTGAAGACAGGTAATGTGATTCCTCTACTATTGTTCTTTGGGCTTAGAAAAGCCTTGGCTATTCTGGGACTTCTGTGGTTCCATATTAACTTTAGGATAGGTTTTTTTCTATTTCTGTGAAGAATGTCATTTGTATTTTGATAGGGATTACATTGAATCTGTAGATTACTTTGGGTAGTATGGACATGTTAACAATATTGAGTCTTCCAATCGGTGAAAAATAAAATATTTTTTTCTGTTGTCTTCAGTGTTTTATAGTTTTTATTATAGAGATATTTTACTTCTTTGGTTAAATTCCTAGGTATTTTGTTTCGTTTCTGTCTATTGTCAATGAGATTACTTTTTTATTTCATTTTCACATTGTTCACTGTCAGCATATAGAAGTGCTACTGATTTTTTATCCTGTAAATTTACTGAATTTGTTTATCAGTTCTAATAGTTTTCTTGTGGAGTTTTTAATGAGTTTCCAAATATAAGATTATATCATCTGCACACAAGGATTAGTTGATTTCCTTTCCAGTTTGGATGTCTTTTATTTATTTCTCTTCTCTGATTGCTCTAGCTAAGACATCCAGTGTTATATTGAATAACAGTGGTGACAGTGGACATCTGAGTCATGTTCCAGATCTTAGAGAAAAGGCTTTCAGTTTTTTCCCTATTCAGTATGATACTAGCTGTGGGTCGTTCATATATGGCTTTTAATATGTTAATGTATATTCCTTCTATCTCAAGTTTTTTGAGTATTTCTATCATAAAGGGATGTGGATTTTATCAAACGCTTTTTCAGCATCAATTGAAATGATCATATGGACTTTATCCTTCATTCTGTTGATATTGATTTACTGCATTGATTGATTTGCATATGTTGAATCATCCTTGTATTCCAGAAATAAATCCTAATTAATCGTGATGAATGATCTTTCTAATGTATTGTTAATTGGTTTGCTAGTATTTTGTTGAATATTTTTGAATCAATACTCATCAGAAACATTGGCTTGTAGTTTTCTTTTTTTTAATGTGTCTTTATATTTGGTATTAGAATACTACTACTCTCATAGAATGAATTTGCAAGTATTCCCTCCACCTCTAGCTTCTGGAATAGTTTGAGTAGGGTTGGTATTAGTTTTACCTTAAATGTTTGGTAGAGTTCAGCAGTGAAGCCATCAATTTCCTGGCTTTTCTATACTGGGAAAATTTTTATTATAGCCTCAAACTCGTTACTTCTTAATTTATCTCTTCAGGTTTTTTGTATTTCTTTCTTGTTCAATCTCGGTAGGTTGTATGTATGTAGAAATTTGTCCACTTTTTTTTCTAGGTTCTCCAATTTACCAGCATATAGTTGCTCATAGTAGTCAGTATTGATCCTTTACATTTCTTTTATATTATTATTGCAACAGGATTTGGGGGAACAGGTGATGTTTGGTTACATGAATAAGTTCTTTAGTGGTGATTTCTGAAATTTTGGTGCACCAATCACCCAGGCAGTGTACACTGTACCCAATGTGTAGTCTTTTATCTATCTCTCCTCTCCCACCCTTTCCCCCAAGTCCTCAAAGTCCATTGTATTAATCATATGCCTTTGCATCCTCATAGCTTAGCTCCCACTTATGAGTGAGAGCATACAATGTTTGGCTTTCCATTCCTGAATTACTTCACTTAGAATAATGGTCTCCGATTCCATTCAGGTTGCTGCAAATGCCATTATTTTGTTCCTTTTTATGACTGACTAGTATTTCATGATGCGTGTGTGTGTGTGTGTGTGTGTGTGTGTGTGTGTATCACATTTTCTTTATCCACTAATTGATTGATGGGCATTTGGGCTGATCACACACTCTTGCAATTGCAACTACTGCTATAAACATGTGTGAGCAAGTATCTTCTTTATATGTGACCTCTTTTCCTCTGGATAGATACCCAGAGTGGGACTGCTGGAAAAAATGATAGCTCTATTTTTAGTTCTTTAAGGAATCTCCACTATTTTCCATAGTGGTTTTCCTAGTTTACATTCCCACCAGCAGTGTAAAAGTGTTCCTTTTTTACCACGTCCCTACCAACATCTATTATTTTTAGATTTTTTTTTAATTATGGCCATTCTTGAAGGAGTAAGGTGGCATTGCATTTTGGTTTTGACTTGTATTTCTCTGATAATTAGTGATGTTGAACATTATTTTCATATTTTTTGGCCATTTGTATATCTTCCTTTGAGAATTGTCTATTCATGTCCTTAGCCCACTTGTTGATGGAATTGTTTGTTTTGTTCTTGCTGATATGTTTGAGTTCCCTGTAGATTCTGAATATTAGTCCTTTCTCAGATGTATAGATTGTGAAGATTTTTTTCCCACTCTGTGGGTTGTCTGCTAATATTTTTGTTTTTTTTGCTATGCAGAAGCTTTTTTAGTGTAATTAACTCACATCTATTTATCTTTGTTTTTGTTCTATTTGCTTTTGGGTTCTTGCTCATGAAGTCTTTGCCTAAGCCAATGTCTAGAGGGGTTCTTCCTATGTTATCTTCTAGAATTTTTATGGTTTCAGGTCTTAGATTTCAGTCTTTGATCCATTTTGAGGTGATTTTTGTATAAGGTGAGAGATGAGGATCCAGTTTTATTCTACATGTGGCTTTCAAATATCTCAGCACCATTTGTTGAATAGGGCGTTTTATCACCACTTTATATTTTTATGTGCTTTGTCGAAGATCAGTTAACTGCAAATATTTGGCTTTATTTTTGGGTTTTCTATTCTTATCCATTGTTTTGTATGCCTGTTTCTATACCAGCGCCATGCTGTGTTGGTGACTGTGCCCTTACAGTATAGTTTGAAATGGAATAATGTGATGCCTCCAGATTTGTTCAATTTGCTAAGTTTTGCTTTGGCTATGTGGGCTCTTTTTTGGTTACAAATGAATTTTAGAATTGCTTTTTCTAGTTCTGTGAATAATAATGATGGTGTTTTGATGAGAATTGCATTGAATTTCTATACTGTTTTTGGCAGCGTTGTCACTTTTATAATATTGATTCTACTCATCCATGAGCATGGGATGTGTTTTCATTTGTTTGTGTGTTCTGTGATTCTTTTCACCAGTGTTTTGTATTTTTCCTTGTAGAGGTCTTCTACATCCTTGGTTAAGTATATTCCTAAGTATTTTATATATTTTTTAGCTATTGCAAAGGGGTTTGAGTTCATGGTTTGATTCTCAACTTGGTGGCTGTTGGTGTATAGCAGGGATACTGATTTGTGTACATTGATTTTGTATCCTGAAACTTATTTATTTACCACTTCTAGGAGCTTTTTGGACGAGTCTTTAAGGTTTAAATCATAAAGGAATGCTGGATTTTGTCAAATCCTTTTTCTGAATCTATTGTGAGGATCATATAGTTTTTGTTTTTAAATCTGTTTATATGCTATATCACATTTACTGACTTGCATATGTTAAACCTTCCCTATATTTCTTGTATGAAACCCACTTGATCAAGGTGGATTATCTTTTTCATATGCTATTGGATTCAGTTGAGTAGTATTTTGTTGAGGATTTTTGCATTTACGTTCATCCTGGATATTGGTCTGCAGTTTTCTTTTTTTGTTATGTCATTTCCTGGTTTTGGTATTAGGGTGATACTGGCTTCATAGAATTATTTAGGGGTGCTTCCCTTTTCTATTGTGGAATGGTGTCAATAAGATTGATAAAAATTCTGTGAATGTCTGATATAATTCAGCTGTGAATCCATCTGGTCCTGGATCTTTTTTTCGTTGTTGCTATCTTTTTAATTACCATTTCAATCTTCCTGCTTGTTATTGGTCTATTCAGAGTTTCTATTTCTCCTGGTTTAATCTAAGAGGGTTTTATATTTCCAAGAATTTATTCATCTCCTCTAGGTTTCCTAGTTTATGCACATAAACATATTCATAGTAGCCTTGAATGGTCTTTTGTATTTCTGTGGGATCAGTTATAATATATCCCCTTTCATCTCTAACTGAGTTTATTTGGGTCTTCTCTCTTTTTTTCTTGGTTAATCTCACTAATGGTCTATAAATTTTGTTTATCTTTCCAAAGAAGCAGCTTTTTTCCTTCACTTATCTTTTATATATTTTTTGTTTGTTTCAATTTCATTTAGTTCTGCTCTGATCTTGGTTATTTGTTTTCTTCTGCTGGTTTTGGGTTTGGTTTGTTATTGTTTCTATAGCTCCTTTACATGTGACCATAGGTTGTCTATTCGTGCTGTTATAGACTTTTTATGTAGGCATTTAACGCTATGAACTGTCTTCTTAGCACTTACTTTTCTGTATTCCAGAGGTTTTCATAACTTGTGTCTCTTTTATTATTCAGTTTAAAGAATACTTTATTTCCAATTTGATTTTGTTGTTTACACAACAATCGTTCTGGAGGTTATTTAATTTTCATGTATTTGCATGGTTTTGAGGGTTTGACTGTTGAAGTTGATTTCCAATTTTATTGCACTGTAGTCTGAGAGAGTACTTGTTATAATTTCAATTTTCTTAAATTTGTTGAGACTTGTTTTGTGGCCTATCATATAGTCTATCTTAGATAATTTTCCATGCACTGATGAATGGAATGTATATTCTGCAGTTGTTGGGTAGAATGTTCTATAAATATCTGTTAAGTCCATTTGTTCTAGGTTATAGTTTAAGTCTATTGTCTCTTTGTTAACTTTCTCTCTTGATGACCTGTCTAGTGCTGTCATGGGAGTATAGAAGTCCCCCACTATTATTGTGTTGCTTTCTATCTCATTACTTAGGTCTAGAAGTAATTGTTTTATGAATTTGGGAGCTCCAGTTTTAGGTGAATATGTATTTAGGATTGTGATATTCTCCTGTTGGACTACTCATTTATCATTATATCATGTCCCTCTTTGTGTTTTTTAACTGCTGCTGCTTTAAAGTTTATTTTTTCTGATATAAGAATAGCTATTCCTGTTCACTTTCAGTGTCCATTTGCATGAAATATGTTTCTCCACCACTTTATTTTAAATTTTTGTGACTCCTTATGTGTCAGGTGAGTATATTGAGGACAGCAGATACTTGGGTGGTGAATTATTATCTGTTTGTCATTCTGTATCTTTTCAGTGGAGCATTTCAGTGATTTACATTCAATGTTAGTGTTGAGAAGTGAGGTTCTTTTCTATTCATTTTTCTATGTGTTGCCTAAGTACTTTGTTTTATTTTTCATTGTGTTATTGTTTTCCAGGTCCTGGGAGATTAATGCTTTAAGGAGATTATATTTTGGTGATTTTCAAGGATTTTTTTTCAAGATTTAGAGCTCCTTTCAGCAGTTCTTGTAGTTCTGGCTTGATAATGGTGAATTATTTCAGCATTTGTCTAAAAATTGCTGTATCTTTTCTTCATTTATGAAACTCAGTTTCATTAGATACAAAATTCTTGGCTGATAATTGTTTTGTTTAAGAAAGCTAAAGATAAAACCTCAATCCCTTCTAGCTGGTAGGGTTTCTGCTGACAAGGCTGCTGTTAATCTGAGAGGTTTTTCTTTATAGGTTACCTGATGTTTTTGACTTACAGCTCTTAAGATTATTTCCATCATCTTTACTTTAGATAAGATGATGACTATGTGCCTAGGTGATAATGTTATTGCGATGAATTTTCTGGGTTTTCTTTGAGCTTCATGTATTTGGATGTCTCAACCTCTAGCAAGGCTGGAGAAGTTTTTCATGATTATTCCCTCAAATACATTTTCCAAAATTTTAGATTCCCCTTCTTCCTCAGGAACATCAATTATTGTTAGGTTTGGTAATTTAACATAATCCCAAATTTCTTGGAGGCTTTGTTTATTTTAAAAAATTCTTTTTCATTGTTTTTTGTTGGATTGCTGGATGGTTAATATTGAGTGTCAACTAGAATGGATTGAAGAATGCAAAGTATTGTTCCTGGGTGTGTCTTTGAGGGCACTGCCAAAGGAGATTAACATTTGAGTCTAGGGACTGGGAAAGGCAGATCCACCCTCAATCTGGGTGGGCCCAATCTAATCAGCTGCCAGTGTGGCCAGAATAAAAGCAGGCAGAGGAGTGTGAAAAAACTAGACTGGCTTAGCCTCTGAGCCTACATCTTTGTCCCATGCTGGATACTTCCTGCCTTCAAACATTGGACACCAAGTTCTTTAGCTTTGAGACTTGTACTGGCTTCCTTGCTCCTCAGCTTATGGACAGCCTATTGTGGAACCTCACCTTGTGATCGTGTGAGTTAATACTTTATAATAAACTCCTTTTATATATACATCATTTTATTACTTCTGTCTATCTAGAAAACCCTGACTAATACAGATCTTGGTACCAGGAGGGGTTCTAGAGGAAAAGAACATTAAGGCTGCAGTCATTTCACTGGTTTTGGGGTTCCTGGAGTTTGCTGCTTAATATGATTAGACCCCAAAATGCTAAGGACTCTACTTCGAATAGTATGGAGAACAATGATAGTCCTTGGTGTGAACTGTTTAAAGGGTTATGCAAAATAAGTGCATTTGATACTCCTGACTCAGCATTTGTGAGAGGCAAGACGTTTAGTGAATCTGTACATAACACTTTTGACCATATGTGGAAAACCAAAAAATATAACCAAGTTGATTGATTGCTCCTAAGTTCACTGGACAAAATGATGAAAAAACAATAATGAACTCAGGGATTCTGTCTCCCAGCTTCAGAAGCAGGTACTGAGCCTCAAATCTTCTAAGATTGCCTGGAGTCAGAATCTTATCTCCTGCAGAGGAAGAGCTGAAATTTCAGAAAATCAGACACAAGCTCTTATCATGCAAGTGGCTGACCTGCAACAAAAGGTGCACTCACAGCCTCACCAGATGTCTACTGTTAAAGTAAGGGCATTGATTGTAAAAGAATGGGACCCTGCACCTTGGAATGGGAACGTGGGGGAGGACACTGATGAAGCTGGGGACACTGAGGTTGTAAACTCTGATGAGTTAAAAAAAGGTTCTATTAGTTTATTTTCTTGGTTAGCAGAAATGTGGATTAAAAGATGGCCCGCTGTGAGCGAACTAGAAATGTCTGATCTGCCTTGGTTTAATATACAGAAATGGATCCAAAGGCTTAGGGAGATTGGGGTGCAGAAGTGGATTAGTCACTTTAGACCTTCAAATGCCAGCTGGGAGGGTCCAGAGAATATACCCTTGACCAATACTTTGCAAAATAGATTTGTGAGGGGAACACCTGCATCTTTGAAGAGCACTGTGATTGCTCTTCTCTGTATGACAGATCGAACAGTGGAAACCGCAGTCACTGAACTACAAAATTGAATGCAATAGGAATAATTGGATTTCGAGGAAGCAGGGGCCAAGTGGCAGCACTAACTGTTAAAGACAACTGTCAAAGACAAGGTGGGCATAGCTACCATAATGGACAGCAGAGGCAAAGCAGCAATCAGAATAGTTTGACTCACATAGAGCTCTGGCATTGGCTAATTATGGTGTTCCTAAAAGTGAAATTGATAGGAAGCCTATTGCATTCTTACTTAATTTATATAAGCAGAAAACTTCCAGATTGAGTGGACAAAAGACTAATTTGAAATATAAAAACAGAATCACAACCCCTCAATCAATTTCCAGACTCGAGCCAGTTTACAGACCAAGAACTCCTGGAATGAAAGGGAGGCTAGGTGCCCTTGAGAAGGTACCCCACTACACTACCAAAAATGTGTGATGTTAATCTTTCTCCCATCCCTCCCCAAGGAGACCTCCTTTTACCAGGGTAACTGTGCACTGGGGAAAGGGAAATGATAGGATCTTTCAGGGACTACTGGACACTGGCTCTGAGCTGACGTTGATTCCAGTGGACCCAAGATGTCAGGTCCTCCAGTTAAAGTAGGGGCTTGGCGGGGGGTGAGGTAATTAATGAAGTTTTAGCTTAGGTACGACTTACAGTCAGTCCAGTGGGTCCCTGAACTCATCCTGTGTGGTCATTTCCCAGTGCCAGTATGTGTACTTATCATAGACATACTTAGTAGCTGGCAGAACCCCCATATTGACTCCCTGACTGGTAGGGTGAGAGCTATTATGGTGAAAAAGGCCAAATGGAAGCCATTAGAGCTGACTCCACATAGAAAAATAGTAAATCAAAAACAATATTGCATCGTTGGAGGGATTGAGGAGATTAGTGCAAGCATCAAAGACTTGAAAGATGCAGGGGTGATGATTTCCACCACAACTCTCCTATTTGGCCTGTGCAGAAGAGAGATGGATATTGGAGAATGACAGTGGATTATCATAAGCTTAACCAAGTGATGACTCCAATTGCAGCTGCTGTACTAGAAGTGGTTTTATTGCTTGAACAGATTAACACATTTCCTGATACCTGGTATGTAGCCATTGATTTGGCAAATGCCTTTTTCTCCCATTCCTGTCCATAAGGCCCATGAGAAGCAATTTGCCTTCAGCTGGCAAGGACAGAAATACACCTTCACTCTCCTATCTCAGGGGTATATTAACTCTCCAGCTCTGTGTCATAACCTTGTTCAGAGAGACCTTGATCACTTTTTCCTTGCACAAGATATCACACTGGTCTATTACATTGATGATATTATGCTGATTGTATCCAGTGAGCAAGAAGTAGCAAATACACTGGACTTATTGGTGAGACATTTGCAAGCCAGAGGATGGAAAATAAATCCAACTAAAATTTAGGGAACTTCTACCTCAGTAAAATTTCTCGGGGTCCAGTTGTGTGGGGCCTGTCAAGATATTCTTTCTAAAATGAAGGATAAGTTGCTGCATCTGGCCCCTCCTACAACCAAGTAAGAGGCACAGTGCCTAGTGGGCCTACTTGGCTTTTAGAGGCAACACATTCCTTATCTTGGTGTGTCACTCTGGCCCATTTATGGAGTGACCAGAAAGGCTGCCAGTTTTGAGTGGGGTGCTTAAAGCTCTGCAACAGGTCCAGGCTGCTGTGCAAGCTACTCTGCCACTTGGGCTATATGACCTAGCAGACTCAGTGGTGCTTGAGGTGTCACTGGCAGATAGGGATGCTGTTTGCAGCCTTTGGCAGGCCCCCATAGGTGAATCACAGAGGAGGCCTCTAGGATTTTGGAGGAAGGCCCTGCCATCTCCTGCAGATAACTACTCTTCCTTTGAGAGACAGCTCTTGGCCTATTACTGGACTTTGGTGGAAACTGAACGTTTGACTATGGGTCATCAAGTCACCATGTGACCTGAACTGCCTATTATGAACTGCATGCTTTCTCACCCATCTAGCCATAAAGTGGGATGTGTACAGCAGCATTCCAAAATCAAATAAAAGTCATATATATGTGATCGGGCTTGAGCAGGTCCTAAAGGCACAAGTAAGTTACATGAGAAAGTAGCTCAAATACCCAAGGTCCACTTCTGCCATCCTGCCTTCTCTCCCCCAGCTTGCACCAATGGCCTCATGGGTGCAATCAGTTGACAGAGGAAGAGAAGATTAGGGCCTGGTTCACAGAGGTTTCTTCATGATATGCAGGCACCACCTGAAAGTGGACAGCTGCAGCACTACAGCCCCTATCTATAACATCCTTGAAGGAAAGCAGTGAAGGGAAATCTTCCTGGTGGGCAGAACTTCGGGCAGTGCACCTGGTTGTGCACTTTTCATGGAAGGAGAAATGGCCAGATGTGCGATTATATACTGATTCATGGGCTGTAGCCAATGGTTTGGCTGGATGGTCAGGGACTTGGAAGAAACAAAATTGGAAATTGGTGACAAAGAAATTTGGGGAAGAGGTATGTGGATGGACCTCTCTTAGTGGTCAAACACTGTAAAAATATTTGTATCCCATGTGAGGGCTCACCAAAGGGTGACTTCAGCAGAGGAGGATTTTAATAATCAAATGGATAGGATGACTCATTCTGTGGACACCACTCAGCTTCTTTCCCCAGCCACCCCTTTCATTCCCCCAAGGGGCCCATGAACAAAGCGGCCATGGTGGCATGGATGGAAGTTCCACATGGGCTCAGCAACATGGACTTCCACTCACCAAAGCTGACCTGGCTAGAGCCACTGCTGAGTGCCCAATTTGCCAGCTGCAGAGACCAACTCTGAGCCCTTGATATGGCACAATTCCTTGGGGTGATCAGTCAGCTACTTGGTAGCAGGTTGATTATATTGGACCTCTTCCATCATGGAAAGGGCAGAGGTTTGTCCCCACTGGAATAGAAACCTACTCCAGATATGGGTTTGCCTATCTTTCATGCAATGCTTCTGCCATGAATGCCATCCGTGGACTGACTGAATGCCTTGTTCACCATCATGGTATTACACACAGCATTGCCCCTGAGCAAGGCACTCATTTTATGGCAAAAGAAGTGCAGCAGTGGGCTTATGCTCATGGAATTCACTGGTCTTACCATATTCCCCATCATCCTGATGCAGCTGGATTGATAGAACGGTGGAATGACCTTTTGAAGTCACAATTACAATGCCAACTAGGTGACAATACTTTGAAGGGCTGGGGCACAGTTCTTCACAAGGCTGTGTATGCTCTGAATCAGCATCCAATATTTGGTACTGTTTCTCCCATAGCCAGGATTCAGGGGTCCAGGAATCAAGGGGTGGAAGTGTAAGTGGCACCACTCACCATCACCCCAAGTGACCCACTAGCAACATTTTTGCTTCCTGTTCCCGTAACATTACATTCTGCTGACTTAGAGGTCTTAGTTCCAGAGGGATGAACTCTGCCACCAGGAGGCACCACAATGATTATATTAAACTGGAAGTTAAGATTGCCACCTGGCCACTTTGGGCTCCTCCTACCTTTAAGTCAACAGGCTAAGAAGGGAGTTACAATGTTGGGTGAAGTGATTGACCTGCACTGTCACGATAAAATTAGTCTACTATTCCACAATTGAGGTAAGGGAGATTATGCTTGTAATGTAGGAGATCTCTTAGGGTGTCTCTTAGTATTACCATGCAATTTGATTGAGGTCAATGGGAAACTGCAACAGCCCAGTCCAGGCAGGACTACAAATGGCCCAGACACTTCAGGAATGAAAGTTTGGGTCACTTCACCAGGTAAAATCACGACTTGCTATGGTGCTTGCTGAAGACAGAGGTAATACAAAATGGGTAGTAGAAGAAGGTAGTCAATACCAGCTATGACCAGAAGACCAGCTGCTGAAACGATGACTGTAATTGACATGAGTATTTCCTCCTTATTTAGTTAAGAACATGTTTGTTCATGTATACACTTGTACTAGGAAAATATCTTCAGTGTTTTTTCCTTTATCCTTTATCATGTGACATAAGATTTATTAATTTCATATCAGCATTTAAGTGTTGTTAACTTTATGTAATAGCATTTGTGTCAGGGATTGGTGCATTTCCAGTTGTATGAAGGATAGTTGTATTATGTTAGGCATAATTATGACCTTATTATTGTCTTTATTTAAAGATTATGTATGATTTCAGAAGATATGTATGGGTTCAAGTTGACAAGGATTGGACTTGTGATGGTTAATATTTAGTGTCAACTTGATTGGATTGAAGGATGCAAAGTATTGTTCCTTGGTGTGTCTCTGAGGGTGTTGCCAAAGGAGATTAACATTTGAGTCAGTGGACTGGGAAAGGCAGACCCACCCTCAATTTGGGTAGGTGCAATGTAATCAGCTGCCAGCATGGCCAGAATAAAAGCTGGCAGAAGAATGTGAAAAGATTAGACTGTCTTAGCCTCCGAGCCTACATCTTTCTCCCATGCTGGATGCTTCCTGCCCTTGAACTTCCAACACCAAATTATTTAGCTTTGGGACTCTTACTGGCTTTCTTGCTTCTCAGCTTGCAGACAGCCTATTCCGGGACCTCACCTCGTGAGCGTGTGCGTTAATACTTCTTATTAAGCTCCCCTTTATATATATATATACACGTATATATATACGTATATATATACGTATAAATATACGTATATACGTATATATGTACATATATACGTGTGTATATATGTACATATATGTATATATATACGTGTGTGTATATATATATATGTTATTGGTTCTGTCCCTCTAGAGAATCCTGACTAATACAGATAGGGTTAATTCTAAAGCCTCATCTTTGAGCTCTGAGGTTCTTTCTTATACTTGTTTGATTCTATTGCTGAGACTTTCCAGTGCATTTTGCAATTCCCTAAGTCTGCCCTTCATTTTCAGACGCTGTGATTTTTTTATTTATGTTATCTATTTCATTGGAGATTTTTCCATTCATAACCTGTATCTTTTTTTAAAAAAATTTCTTTATGTTGACTTCATCTTTTTCCAGTGCCTCCTTGATTGGCTTAATAGCTGACCTTCTAAATTCTTTTTCTGACAGTTCAGAGATTTTGTCTTGAATTGGATCTATTGATGGTCAGCTAGTGTTATCTTTTGGTGGTATTAAATAATCTTGTTTTGTCATGTTACCAGAATTGTTTTTCTGGTTACTTTTCATTTGGGTAGACTATGTCAGAGGGAAGATCTTGGACTCAAGGGCTGCTGCTCAGATTCTTCTGTCCCACGGAGTGCTCCTTTGATGTGGTGCTCTTCCCTTTCCTGTAGGGATGGGGCTTCCTGAGAGCCGAACTGCAGTGATTGTTATTTCTCTTTTTGATCTAGCCATTCATTGGAGCTATCTGGCTCTGGGCTGGTACTGGGGAATGTATGCAGAGTCTTGTGATATGATTAATCTTCAGGTCTCTCACCATGGATACCAGCACTTGCACCGGTGGAGGTAGCAGTGGAATGAAATGGATTCTGTGAGGTCCTTGGTTGTATTTTTGTTAAGCGCTTTGGTTTTGTGTTAGTTGGCCTCCAGACGGGAGGGGGTGCCTTCAAGAGTGCATCAGCTGTGGTAGTATATGGAGGATCAGGTGATGAGTGGGGCTATAGTTCTCCCAGTAGATTATGTTCTTTTTCTTCAGATTTCCTAGGCTGTTCCACAGAGTCTGCAGCAGCAATCCACCTCCTTCAAAGGGTCTGTGGATTCTTTTCTCTCTCCTGATATGTTCTGTGGTAGTTATTGGAGCAAAAGTTCATGATGTGAGTCTCCACATGATGCTCTGTATATCAGAGAGTGGGAGTTAGAAGTTAGTCTTGCCTGCTATCTGCCATTTTTCCTCTTACAATCTTGATCTTTTAAATTTCTGCAGTATTAGCTATGATGTCTTATTTTTCATTTTTGATTTTTCTTTTTTGATCTTTTCTCTTTTTTTCATGGGTAGTCTGGCCATAGGTTTGTCATTTTTTTTTAAATTTTAAAAAACAACTTTATGTTTTGTTAATTTTTGTATTTTTTGTTTCATTTCAATTTCATTTATTTCTGCTCTGATATCTATTGTTTATTTTCTTCTACTAATTTTGCATTTGGTTTGTTCTTGCTTTTTTACTTCTTTAAGATGTATCATTAAATTGCTAATTTAAAGTTTTTCATCATTTTTGATGTTGGCATTTATCACTATAAACTTCCCTCTTAGTATTGCTTTTGCTGTATCCCATAGGTTTTCTTATGTTATGTTTCCATTTTCATTTCTTTCAAACATTTTTTCAATTTTTTTCTTAATTTCTTCATTGACCAACTGGTAATTCAGAAGCATAATGTTTAGTTTCTACATATTTCTATAGTTTCCAAAATTCCTCTTGTTATCAATTTCTAGTTTTATTGTATTGTGGTCAGAGAAGATGCTTGATATTATTTAAATTTTTGGATGTTTTATGACTTGTTTTTTGAGCTAACCTATGGTCTATCTTTAAGAATGATATATGTGCTGAGGAAAAGAATATGCACTTCGCAGCTTTTGGATAAAATGTTCTGTAAATATATATTAGATCAATTTCATCTATATTTCAGATTAAATCTGAAGTATTTTTGTTGATTTTCTGTCTGAAAGATCTGTCCAATTCTGAAAGTTGGGTGTTGAAGTCTGCAGTTATTACTGTCTTGGGGGCCAATCTCTAATAACATTACCTTTTTATATCTGGGTGCTCCAGTTTTGGGTGCAAATATATATAAAATTGTTGCATTTTTTGCTGGATTGACCTTTTAATCATTACATAGTGTCCTTCTTTTTCTCTTATAGCTTTTTGTTGAAATCTATTATGTCTGATATAAGTATAGCAACTCCTGTCTTTTTTTGGTTTCCATTGACATGAAATATCTTTTTCATCCCTTTGTTCTTAGTCTCTGTGTGCCTTTTTAGAAGTGTATTTCTTGTAGGCAACCAATCAATGGTTCTTGTTTGTACTTCTGTTCAAGCAGTCTGTATCTTTTGAGTGAAGAGTTTAACTTATTTACTGGTTATTATTGTTAAGTAAGGACTTACTCCTCCCATTTTGTTATTTGTTTTTCTGGGTTTTTAATTTTGTGTGTGTGTGGGTGGGAGGGGTCTTCTTTTCCTTCTTTCTTTCATTCCTGTATATCTCAAGTGAGGGTGTTTTCTTTACTGATATGATTTAGTTTCTTGCTCTTTATTTCTTTTGTATCTAATATATGATTTTGCTTTGAGGTTATCATGAGGCTTGCAAATACTATCTTCTAACCCATTATTTTAACCTGATAACAGCTTAACACTATTTGAATAAACAAACAAGCAAAAAGAAAACTAACAAAACTCTATATCGTGACATCATACCCCACTTTTTAACTTGTGTCTATTTATATCTTATTGTATTATGTCTTGAAAAGTTGTAGTTATTACTTTTAATTGTTTTATTATTTATTATTTCTACTTCAGATAAAAGTAGTTTACATACCACAGTTACAGTGTTATAATGTTCTGTGTTTTTGTGTGTACTTATTATTACTAGTGAGTTTAATACCTTCAGGTTATTATTTATTTCTCATTAATTTTTTTCTTCAGCACTTTAAATATGTCATGTTATTCTCTCCTGGCATGTAAGGTTTCCACTGAAAAGTCTGCTGCCACAGATGTGTTGGAGCTCTGTTGCACGTTATTTGTTTCTTTTATCTTGCTGCTTTTAGATTTCTTTTGTTATGCTTGATCTTTGTGAGCTAGTTTATTAAATACCTTAAGGTAGTCTTCTTTGGGTTACATCTCAATGGAGTTCTGTAGTCTTTTTGTATTTGTATATTGATTTCTTTCTCTAGGTTTGGGAAGTTTCATGTTATTATTCCTTTGAACAAACTTTCTGCTTCTATTTATTCTTCTGCCTCCTCTTTAAGGCTAATAATTCTGAGATTTGCCCCTTTGAGGCTATTTTCTAAATCCCTTAGAGATGCTTCATTGTTTTATTTTAATTTTTTTTCCTTTGTCTCCTCTGACGGTATTTTCAAAGACTCTGTCTTGAAGCTCACTACTCCTTTCTTCTGCTTTTATGTATTCTGCTATTAAAGTACTCTGAAGCATTCTTTAGCATGCTAATTGCATTTTTCATCTTCAGAATTTCTGATTGATTCCTTGTAATTATTTCAATCTCTCTGTTACATTTCTCTACAAAATTTAAGTATTCCTTCTCTGTGTTATTCCTAATTTTGTTGAGTTTCCTTTTACATATCTGTTTCCACAGAATTCATCCCTGGTGATTTATTTAGTTCATTTGGTGAGTTCAAACCTTACTGGATGATGTTCATGCTAGTAGATGCTCTTTGGTGTCTGGGCATTGAAGAATTATGTATTTATTGTAGTCTTCACTGTCTGGGCTTATTTATAGCCATCCTTCTTGTAAAGGTTTTTCAGATATTATAAAAGACTTGAGTGTCATAATCTAAGCTGTATCTGTTTTAGTGGGCACCCCAAGTCCAGTAATACTGTGGTTCTTGCAGACTTGTAGAGGTGCCACTTTGATGGTCTTGGACAAGATCCAGGAGAATTCTCTGGATCACCAGACAGAAACACTTGTCCTCTTCTCTTACTTTCTCCCAAACATACAGAGTCTCTCTGTTCTGAGCCACCTAAAGCTAGAGCTGGAGTGGCACAAGCAACCCTGCTGCC
Source organism: Homo sapiens (assembly GCF_000001405.40). Classification (NCBI taxonomy): domain Eukaryota; kingdom Metazoa; phylum Chordata; class Mammalia; order Primates; family Hominidae; genus Homo; species Homo sapiens. Next base: position 81,625,587 of record NC_000023.11, read on the forward strand.
ACTAATGCTATAACTGAGCTGGGTCAGATCTGAAGCCAGCACAGCACTGGTTCTCACCCAAGGCCGTATACCCATTCTCAGGCTACTGCCTATAGTCCCTCAAGGCCCTAGGGCTTTACAATCAGCAGATGACACACGCTCTAGTTATATTATCTATGTTTGTTTTTATGTAAACTACACATAACAACCACATATGAGAGGGTGCTGAAAGTCAGTATTACATTTCCTTGTTTTCAACTTGTATTATAGACAAAAGTTTCAAGGGAGAATGAGTCTCTAATATCCAATCATTTGTATTCTTATCATCAACAACTATTATGAAATAAATTTTGTCTCCAAGGAGAGTTTCAGTTTTGTTCTCCTACAATTATGCTCTTTTCTCTCCTCAAATGGTAAGGGACTATGTTACTTGACTCAAGACTAAGTTGAATTTACACTGAAACCTCATTAATTTAAACTAATCTGGGAGAAATACAGGCCTGAAAGACAGAATGTTTTAAAAGAAATAGCTTTACACACAATCCATCAGTGGGGTCAATATAGCATTTGCAAAGGATCAAAGCTACTTTAATGAAGAGGTAAACATATAATTGGAATGCCAGTTATTTTTCAGAAAATGTGAGATTAAATAAGTTTGTTCTGTTAAGGAGAATAGGTAAATTTTAGCATACCATGGAGTTTGGTAACAAAACCTATTTTCTTACATAGAACACAGAAAACAATAATTGTCACATTTGTTTTTCTTCTTGGCTGACTATTGTTGCTGATTCTTTGTTTTGGATTTAGTTTTTACTCTCCATGTATCCTTTTGGACTTGATATTTGTGATAGTTCCTTGCTTTCTGAGGTAACTTCAATTATATCCTGGACATCAGACCCGTTTTTTTCTATATGCTCATAGTCTTGGTTCAGCCTGGTAATTCTGTGCCTGGTTCTGGTTCCTGGAGTCATAGCTCAGGCAGAGCATTGATATAACCAATTATTTACCTTTGCTACTCTAACACATGGGTTTTATCATAAATTCCAAATTAATAGAGCATAAATTTATATTTTACTCTACCTCCAAATAATGTGATTACCTAGATTGAGCCTAATGTATATGGGGAGTAGTTAACCATTTAAGAAAACTTCCTGGACCAAAAATGCACTTGGCTTTCATCTGTTTACTGATATCTACCTAAAGATATTTCATTCCTTTACAATATGATGTTGCAACCCGTTAAAAATAGTAACACACTAGAAAAGGTCATATTTTAAGTGATCATTGATATTTATATATATATGTTTATCACAAAAAACTGGAGAGCAAATTTTGATAAGGATAGAAGAACATGAAGGCACTATTCTTATCACAAATTACATATGGGTAATATTTTTACCATTTTTTGGAACAGCAGACTGAGTCAATGTTTTGCCGTTTAGGTGTTGACCCTCTACATTTATCCTTAAAATATAATAGAGAAAATATGGGAGAGTTACATTTTCATTTAATCATCTTCCTTTTTCTCCTAGACTTCTAAATGTTAGTATGCCCCAGGGTTCATCCTTAGTCCTCTTCTCTAAGAACACTCACTCCTTTCATGTTCTCATCTTGTCTTATAGATTTAAATATATTCTGTGTGCTCAAGATGCCCAAATTTATACATCTAGGTAGGACCAATCTCCCGAACTCCAGACTCAGATACCCAGCTGCCTGTTTGGCATTTCTACAAAGTAGCCTATTGAAATGTAGTTAAATCATGTCATTGCTATGCTTAAAACACTGAAATGGCTTCCAATTTCACTATGAAAACAAGCTAATGTCTTTACAGCAAACTACAGTACCCTGCATGACATACTGTCCCCATTCCCTCCTGCCCTCCACAATATCATTTTAACCTAGTTTCCTACAACTACCCCTTTCTCACTCAGCTTTGACCATGCTGACCTCCTTGCTATTCCTTGAACGAAACAGATATATCCCTACTAGAGTCTTTGCACTGGCTGTAACCTCTGCTTGAATAATCCCTCCAGTAGTCTGTGTGGCTAAATATTTCAATTTCTCTGAATCTTTTTTTTTTGATGAATCTTTCTATCCTAATCAACTTATTTTAAATCATGTGGGGCTCACAGTATCTTACATTCTGCTCTACTTTTAAAAATACATAGCATTTATCACCTTCTAGTAAATAACATAGTAGTCTTATTTTATTTATTGTTTACTTTTTGCTGCTTGTCGCTAGAATGTAGGTTCCATGAAGGCTAGGATATTGCTTTTATTTACTAATATAGTCCAAGAACACAGATAAATGCCTGCCACATATTAAATGCCCAATACATATTATTTGAATTAATAAGTGTATTGACCAAGTTAGCAGATTTACTGGGCTTTAAAGATAGAATTTTCCCCCAAATCGTAATAGTAAACAGAAATGAAAGGAACAAAAAACTGATTTATAAAAGAATTACCTTTCAAAATGTAGAAAAACAACTATGGGCACCTTCTTTTAGGTAGGTAAACTGCAATGCAAGAGAGGGACTAATGGGATGGTAAACTAGGCTCCAAACCATGCTACTACAATACTAAATCTATATCTTATAATAAAGGGGGAGGTGAATGTAGATAAAACATTAAATTACTTGGTTATATATATATACATAAAATATATATAAATTGCAAGTTTATATTTTTGTTTTAAAGCTAACACATGGGAAATAGAGTATGTATTTTTGTTGAGCAATGCTTCTCAAAGTGTGTTCCAAGGAATTATCATTTCAAATTATGTTAATATATGTCTCTGAAATAAAAGGATACTATTGTCAATTAAGTTTGGGGAATGGTAAGTTAATCAAACTTAAATCGGTATCCTTACATTACAATTTCTAAGGCTTTAATAAACTTATTATTTTGAATCATCTAAATGAGAGGTGAAGAAGACTGCACATTTTAGATATATTTCACTAAAAATACTTCCCTTCTTTTTTCCTCTAGAGCATCTTATGAAACTACTTATGTAAAGAATACACTTTAGCTATAGAGGTTGGACATAATACCTCATATGTGAAAGTTATAGGAGGTCTGATTTCACACAAATTAAGGAAGAATATTCTAACTATTGAAGCTGTACAGAAGTCAACTGTTCTTTTTTTAGGTAGTAAACTTCCTGACAATTGAGTTTTCAAACATTAAATGGAACTTTGTTAGGGATACTGTAGAGGGGGTTCCCATATTGAATAAAGCATTGGGCACTCAGAGGCGCCTTTTAATCGTAAACTTTTATTATATAATTATAAGATTTGATGGGATTCCCATTAAGACCCTGCTTGCCACATCTAAGAAGAGTAGCAGACACCTTACCAGCTCTAGCAATGGAGTGAATTTAGTCATTCTGGTTTATTGTGTTTTGCTTTTCTAATGGAAAGGATAACAACAAAAAAGTATGGAAATGATAAATGCTATTAAGGACCTGTTTCCTTTTACCTGCATAGTAGGATTCCATTTCTAATTCTACACAGAAAAACGCCAATTAACTAGAACCTCACTATCTGTCAATTCCTAATTAAGAGTAATGTTTATTTTCTCGCTTTTATTTTCTTTCTTTTCCTTTTTGTTCCTTCCCTCCCTTTCTCCTCTCATACCTCTTTCTTCTCTCCTTTCTTTCTTCCTTATTTCCTTCATTACTTCCTTCCTCTCCTTCCTTCCTTTCTCCTCTACCTCCCTTCCTTCTCTCCTTCCTCACTCTCTTTCTTTCTTTCTCCCTTCCTTCCCTCCTCCATCCCTCCATCCTTTCCTTCCTTCCTTTCTTCCTTCTTTCCTTCCTTCCTTTTTTATTCCTTTCTTTTTTCTTTTTGGCTCCACTTGGCTTTCAGCAAAATATAACTCACAGTATCAAACCAATAATGCTGGTTGACGCAAGCAAAATTTACTGTACTAGAGTTAATATCCTATTGTTTCTACACTTCGATATCTAAGACTAAATGTGTAGAATTTATAAGTTGAAAAATAATTCAGTTTCCATAAGATACTCAGTTAATCAGAGCAAAAGTCAGTTACTCTACCTATTAAAGCAAGGTGGATGCATTTAATTACTTATAATTATAAAATAATAAACAGGTCTTGGGAAGAAGTGTAGGTAGTTTCTTTTAAATCTAATAGGTGTACGTTTTTTATTGAACAAAACTAATCATTTTTCCACTATAATACACGTAAATGCAGAGGGGAATAAATAATTTCTCTGGGATTACTTAGGATCTAACATGAAGTAAACTGTCACTAGCATAAATGTCTTTGAAATAGAGTACTTTTTATCCTTGAAATATATGTAAATTTTTATTCTAATCCATAGTAATGAAAGAAACCCTCAAATGAAGATTTATTATATTTAGACTATAGTTTTGGAAATTTTTAGAGTAGCACTGCATACTCCTGGATTCTTTAATATGAAGGTGGACAACACTTTGGCTTCCAGCAGACTTAGTAACTTTACTGTTAGCTATGCTATAGAAGATATTGATTTTATGGGTAGGAATTTGGACTGGATCATCTTTAAAAACAGTATAAACTCTCAGACTCTACACAAACCCTGGATCAAATTTCTCCAGACTGTGATCTGGAGATATCAATTTTAAACAAGCTTCTAAAGTGATTCTAATGTATGTCGAGGTTTTGAAACCACTATATTATATGACATGCAAACTTCCTATCATGTTGTAATTTTATAAAGGCTTTCAATATCAAGGTTTGAAACAGATAACTGATCACAGTATCTAACACCCATGAGTCTTGGTTAATTAAAGTTTGAATAGAAGAAAAGGTCTTTATGAAGTCATTTTATAGCTTTGAAAGCTTTTGAACTTTAAGGACAGAATGCAGGTACATCAAAAGCAATCTGAAAATGACATTTAAGGACAAGTTGAAATTTTTTCTTGTAGCAGATATAAATCTCAGTTGTATGACTATGTAATATTGTTAACCATCACTTGTCATCGTATGTGAAATGAAAATATAATTCAGAAAATTGTTTAATGTGATTTACCTAAAGCTTTAAACATTAACGTTTAAACTTTTTTTATTTGTTTACAGATCACAGGTAGAGTAGATTTAGAATAATTCTTAAGGGTCCTAGTATATTTGGAATAATACGTGAGCAATGTTTTCAACTTAAAATGACTGCTGCATTGGGCCCTAACAAGAGAGTCAGTCTGTCCTTTGGAGGTTTGAAACCAGGCATTGACTTCTCCTTTGTAGCAATGAGAATCCTAGAGGGCATCTTCTTTCAATAGGAGGCTATGATTAAGAGAAATACCTAATGCATGTGGGGCTTAAAACCTAGAGGATGGGTTGATAAGTGAAGCAAACCACCATGGCACACGTATATATATGGAACATACCTGCAGGTTCTGCACATGTATCCCGGAAACTTAAAGTTAAAAAAAAAAAAAAAAAGGAGGCTATGTCAATTTTCCCACTTCATTCTTCTCTTTTATTATTGACTTGTTCATTCTGGGTTTTTTTGGTTTGTTTGTTTGTTTGTTTGTTTGTTTTTGCATGCCTACATAAACTTTAGAATCAGTTCATCAATATTCTCAAAATAACTTGCTGGGATTTTTATTAGAAATGCACTGAATCTACATATCAAGTTGAGAAGAGCTGACATCTTGAGAATATTGTCATGCTATTCATGAATATGGAACATCTCTCTATTTAGTTTTTAAAATATATTTTATCAGAATTTTGTGGCTTTTCTCATAGAGATAATCCCCAACTTACAATGGTTTGACTTACAATTGTTCTACTTTATGATGGTGTGAAAGCTATACACATTCAGTAGAAAGCACACTTCTGGTACTTATAAAGCCATTCTGTATTTCTCTTTTTAAACAGTATTTAATAAATGACATGGCATATTCAACACTTTAAAATAGGCTTTATGTTAGATGATTTTGCCTAATGTAAGCTAATGTAAGTGTTCTGAGCACTTTAAGCGAGACTAGGCTATTATATTTAATAAGTTAGATGTATTAAATGCATTTTTGAAATGATATTTTCAACTTATGATGGGTTAAACCTAATCATAAGTTGAGAAGCATCTGAGTCAGTCTTGTGCATAATTTGTTAGATTTGTAATAATTTTATTATTTGGGTGAAGAAAATGTGTTTTGGATTTCAAATTCTATGTGTTCATTGTTGGCATATAATAAATCAATTGACTTTTGTATACTAACCTTGTATCCTCCAACTTGCTGTAATTGATATACATGTTTATCAGTTCAATATTTTTTTTTCATTTTTTCACATTTTCTACATAGATAATCACGCCATTTACAAATACGGTTTTATTTCTACCTTCTTAAACTATACACTTTTTGTCTTCTTTTCTATTGCATTACCTCAGACTTCTAGTACATTGTTGAAAAAGCAGTTGTGAGAGGGACATCATTGCCTTTTTCCTGATCTTAGTGGAAAAGCTTTTAATTTCTCATAATTAAGTATGATGCTAACTGTAGATGTTCTTCATTAAGTTGAGGAAGTTATCCTGTATTTTCACATTACTGAGTGTTTTTATCATGATTGGGTGTGGATATTGTCAGATGCATTTTCTGAATCTATCGATATGATCACATGATTCTTCAAGCCTATTGCTGTGTTTGATTATATTCATTGATGTTTGAATGTTGAACCAGCCCAGCGTACTTGGGATAAATATCAGCTGGTTGCATTTCATAATTATTTTTATAATTGATCATTTAAGTTTGCTCATCTATGTTCATGAAAATATTGGTTTGTAGTTTCCATGTTGTGTATTTTTTCTAATTATGGTACTGGTATAATGTGGGTCTTATAGAAAAATAAAGTATTTTCTCTGCTTCTATTTTCCAAAAGAGATTGTAGAGAATTGTTATAATTTCTTTCTAAATGTTTGATAGAATTCAACAGTGAATCCATCTGTTCCTAAAGCAGTATGTTCTGTGAGGAAACTAAATATCGTTTCAATTACTTTATTAGACCTAGGTATATTCAGATTGTCTATTTCTTCTTGTGTGAGTTTTGGCAGATCACGCCTTTCAAGGAACTGGTCCATTTCAGCTACATTATCAAATTTGTAAGCATAGAGTTGTTTACAACATTCCATTATTATCCTTTTAACATCGATTGGATCTGTAGTGATGTTTCCCTCTCCATCTCTGATATTAGTAATTTCTATTTTTCCTCTTTTTTTCTTAGTTATCCTGGCTAGAGGCTTATCAATTTTATTTTTCTTTTCAAAGAGCTAGTTTTTTTCATTGATTATCTCAATTTATTTCCTGTTTCTTCTACTTAATTTGAATACAATTTATTCAGGTTCTCCCAGTTTCTTATGGTGGAATATTAAGGTATTCATTTTAGATCTTTCTTCTTTTCTAGTATATGTGTCAAATATTATTAGATTCTCTCTGAACATCTTAACACTGCTTTCATTGTATCTTACGAACATTGATAAGTTGTATTTTTGTTTAGTTAAAATGTTTTTAAATTTCTCTTGAGATGTCTTATTTAACACAATTTGTTACTTAGAAGTATGTCATTTAATCTAAGTATATTGGGATTTCCCAGCTATCTTTCTGTTATTGACTTCGAGCTTAATTTCATTATGGTTGGAGAGCAGAAATTGCATGTTTTCTTTTTTAAAAATAAAAATTTAAAGTGAGTTTTATGAACTAAAATGTTTATCTTTGTGAATATTCCATATGATCTTAAGAAATATGTGTACTCTGCTGCTGTTGGATGGAATAATTTATAGATATCAATTATATTCAGTTGACTGATAATGCTATTAATTTTAGCTATGTTCTTACTGATTTTCTGCCTACTGGATCTGACCATTCCTGAGAGATGTTAAAATTTCCAACTGTAATATGGATTTATATATTTCTCCTAGCAGTTCTATAAGTGTTTGCCACACATATTTGACAGTTTTGTTAGGAACAAAGACATCACAAATTGTTATATCTTCTTGGAGTATTGACCAGTTTATCATTTTTGTTTTTAAGTTCTGGGGTACATGTGCAGAATGTGCAGGTTCATTACATAGGTAAATGTGTGCCATGGTGGTTTTCTGCACCTGTAAGTCCATTGCCTAGGTGTTAAGCCCAGCCAGCGTTAACTATTTTTCCTAATGCTCTCCCTCCCCCTTCCCCACCCCTGACAGGCCCCAGTGTTTGTTGTTCCCCTCCCTGTGTCCGTGTGTTCTTATTGTTCAGCTCCTACTTGTAAGTGAAAACACGCGCTGTTTGGTGTTCTGTTCCTGCATTAGTTTGCTGAGGATAATGGCTTCCAGCTTCATCCATGTCCCTGCAAAGGACATAATCTCGTCCCTTTTTATGACTGCATAGTATTCCATGATGTGTATTTACCATATTTTCTGTATTCAGTCTATGACTGATGGACATTTTGGTTGATTCCATGTCTTTAAATTTACCTCTTTATTTCTGATAACTTTCTTTGCTTTGAAGTCTGTTCTGCCCCACATTAGTATCCACTACTCCTGCTTTCCATGATTTGTGTTAGCATGATGCATTTTTGTCTAATTTTTAACTTTTAATCTGTATGTGTATTTACATACAAACTGAGTTTTTTCTAGACAACATGTACTTTAGCTTGTTTTATCATACTCTGCCAGTTTTTTTCTATTAGTTTGTATATTTAGATTATTTATATTTTAAGCAATTGCCAATATAGACAGGTTAACATCTATTATATTAATGTTTCCTGTTTGCTGCTCTTGTTCTTTTTTCTATTTTTGTTCTTTACACTTTTTCCATTGTTTGTGATTCTATTTGAGCATTTAATTTTAATTTCTATCTTTTCAAAATGTCAAGTATATTTTTATTTCTTTATTTAGTGGTTGCCTCAGACTCTGCAATATACATTTACAATTAATCCAACTCAAATTTCAAATAAGATTTAATTGCTTAATGAGGAGTACAAGTACTTTATAACAAAATATTTTAATTGCTCCCTCTCATTTGTTATACTTTTATTGTCATTTATTTTACTTATACATAAGCATATATAAGCATAGGTGGATAGATACATATGATAAAATACATCGTTGTTACCATTTAAAGCAAAATGTTTTATTTCAGGTTAATTAAGTAAAATAATCTGTCCAACAAACTCCCATGACACAGGTTTACCTATATAACAAACCTGCACATGTATCCTTACTTAAACAAAGTTAAATTTGGTAAATAAGTAAATAAAAGATTTTTTAAAATAAAAAATGAGAAAAATAAAAGTTTTATCTTACCTTCAATTATTTATCCAGCAATGGTTTTTATTTCTTTATGCAGACTCAAGTTTCTTACGTATATCATTTAAGTTCTTTCTGTATAACTTAACATTTTTGTAAGGTAGGTCTAGTAGCAACAAATAGCCTCAATTTTCATCTGAAAAGGTCTTTATTTCTACTTCACAATTTTTATTATGATAAAACACCTAACATAAGATCTACCTCTTAACAAACATTTAATTATACCAAAGAATATTGTTAACTATAGGTACAATGTTGTATAGCAAATGTTTAGAACTTATTTATCTTTTATTACTGAAACTTTATACCTATTGGTCAGCAACTTACCATTTTTCTTTCTAGAATCTCCTGGCAACCACCATTCCATACTTTCTTTCTATGACTTTCACTATCTTACATAACTCAGATAAGTAGAATCATGCAATATTAGCCCTTCTTTTACCGGGTTATTTAACTTACTATAATATCCCTAATGCTCATGTGTGTACGTGTGTTGTTTCAAATGGAAGGATCTCCGTTTTATTCAGGGCTAAATAATATTATATCTATATGCCACATTTTGTTTATCTACTCATCTATCGATGAACACAAGGTTGTTTTTATGTCTCAGATATTATTAATAATGTTGCAATGCACATGGAAGTGCACATTTTTTCCCAAGATACTCATTTCAATTGTTTTCGATATATATCCAGAAGACGGATTATTGGATTATATGGAAATTCTATTTTTAATTATCTTAGTAACACCTATATTGTTTTCCATAATGGCTATACCAATTTACATTTTCAGCAACAGCGTAGGGAGCTCCCTTTTCTCCAAAGTCTCTACAACACTGGCTATCATTTTTTATGACAGCAACCCTAACAGATGTTAGTTAGATGATATCTCATAGAGTATTTATTTGTGTTTTCCTGATAATTAGTGATATTGAGGATTGTTTTATGTATTTGTTGGCCATCTTAATGTCTTCTTTGGAGAAAGGTCTATTGAGGTTCTTTGTTCATTTTTAAATCAGATTACTTGCTTATTTGCTATTAACCTCTTATCAGAGCCATTGCTGCACTCTAAATCATGGCTTCATGGCCACTCTGCACATTTCATGCCTAGAATACTGGTGATTTTGCTGCAAATGAAACACATATATCCTGTTTGCAAGTGTCACTGCAGCTATGTGCATGCCCATGCTTCACAACCCAGCTTTCCAGATGCTTCAAAAACACCTGTGTCTTGCTAACCATCACCAATGTGGCAATTAAAAAAATGCACTCCAGCCACTCATGTCACTCCTGCACTGGACCCCAGAGACATTGTCCATCAAAGTATGCCCACACTCCTGACTCTAGCTTCATGGCTTTTAATTGAGCACCATGCACTGGACACCAGTAACACCAACACTGCTGACACAACCATGAGCTACACCTGACACCAAGAGGGATGCCATCAGCCATGACTTCCCTTTTAAGAGTAAAAGAGATCAATACCCTGACAGACTTCTCCATGAAAGACCCAACATGCCTCACCATTTCTGTGGACACCCACATAATTGGCTACTGATAAGCTCTTCAATATTGCCAAGGTTAACCTCATCTGACAAGGCTGCACAAAGACTACATTGCTGTGCTCCCCTAACAACAAGAATTGTCACACCCAACCCAGATGGTGACCTTGCATCCACCTACACGTGAAGGTCTTTCCCCACAAAATCAGTCTATATAGGTATATGCACAGCAAAATGACCAAATAGAAGCATTCACCAATTGTCTTCCACACAGGAACACAAAACTGAACAACTGTACACATAAAAAAGCACATTTATAAGAACCAAAATTTAGAATCTCCAAGGCAGTACCTCTACAAGTCTGAATGAGCCACAGAATTGGGCTTGGGGTGCCCCCTAATTCAGATATAGCTGCAGTGACCAAAAACTCAAACTGAGACACTCAAGTCCCGTTGAATACCTGGAAAGCCTTCCCAAGAAGGACACATACAAACAAGCCCAGATTGTGATGACCATAATTCTTAACCCTTCAATGCCCAGACACAAACAAAAATTCAGAAGCATCAAGACCAACCAGGAAAACATGATCTCACCAAAAGAACTAAATAAGGCAGGCACCAGAAACCAATCTTTAAAAAAAAAATACAGATATGTGACATTTTAGACAGAAAATTCCAAATAGCTATTTTGGGGGAACGCAATGAAAATCAAGATAACACAGAGAATACATTGAAAATGTCATCATACAAATTTTAGAAACATATTGAAATAATTAAGCAGTATCAAGCAGAAATTCTGGAGTTGAAAATGCAATTGATATACAAAAGAAAGCATCGGAGTCTCTTAACAGCAGAATTGGTCAAGCTGAAGAAAGAATTAGTGACCTTGAAAATAGGCTCTTTGAAAACACACAGTCAGAGGAGACAATAAAAAGAATAAAAAAGACTGACACATGCACACAAGATCTAGAAAGTAGCCTTAAAAGGGAAATCTAAGAGGCATTGGCCTTAAAGAAGAGGTAGAAAGATAGATAAGGGTAGAAAGTTTATTCAAAGGGATAATAACAAAGAACATCCCATAGAAAAATATATTAATATGCAAGTATAAAGCTAAAGAACATCAAGCAGATTTAACCCAAATAAGACTACCACAAGACATTTAATAATCAAACTCCCAAAGTTCAAGAAGAACAGACCCTAAAAGCAGCAATAGAAAAGAAACAAATAACATTAAATGGAGCTCCAATATGTCTGGCAGCAAATCTTTCCATGGAAATCTTACCAGGTAGGAGAGCATGACAGGACATATTAAAAATACTGAAGAAAAAAACCCTGCATCCTAGAATAGTATATTCAGGGAAAATATCCTTCAAACATGAAGGAGAAATAAATACTACCTCAGACAAACAAAAGCTAAGGTATTTCATAACCACCAGACCTGTCTTACAAGAAATGCTAAAGGAAGTTCTTCAACCTGAAAGAAAATGATGTTACTCCTGGGTAATAGTAAGTACACAGAAAATCACAGAATATTATAACACTGTAATTGTGCTCTGCAAACTATTCATACCTTGAGTAGAAAGACCAAATATTGAAGCAATCAAAATAGTAACTGCAATAACTTTTGAAGACATAGATAGTAGAAGATATAAGTGGAAACAACAAAAAGGTCAAAAGCAGGAGGATGAAGTTAAAGTGTAGTGTTTTATTTGTTTATTTTTCCTTGCTTGTTGGTTAGCTAGATTGTTTATGCAATCAGTGTTAAGTTGTCATTAAGTTTAAAATAATGTGTTATTATTTGCAATCCTCATGGTAACTTCAAATTTAAAAAAAAACACACAACAGATACACAAAAAGTAAAAGCAAAAAATGAGAACATACCACCAGAAAAAAATCATCTTTACTAAAAGGAACATAGGAAGGAAGGAAATGAAGGGAGAGAAGACCACAATAATGGAAAACAAATTAAAATATGGCAGGAGTAAGCTCTTACTTACCAATAATAACATTGAATTTAATCATACTGAACAATCCAATCAAAAGACATAGAGTGGCTGAATGGATGAGAAAATAACACCCAACCATCTGTTACCAACAAGAAACACACTTCACCTATAAGGAAATACATAGAATGAAAATAAAGGGATGGAAAAAGATATTCCATGAAAATAGGAACCAAAAAAAAAAAAAAAGAGCAGAGCTAGCTCTATTTAGACAAAATAGATTTCAAGACAAAAACTATAAAAATAGACAATGAAGGTCATTATATACAGATAAAGGGGTCAATTTGGCGAAAAGTTATAACAAGCTTAAGTATATAGTCATCCAACACTGGAACATCCAGATATATAAAGCAAATATTACTAGAGCTTAAAACAGTTAGATACCAGCATCATAATAACTGGAGACTTCAACACCACACTTTCAGCATTGGACAGATCATCCAAACGGTACATCAATAAAGAAATATCGGACGATCTGCACTATACACCAAATAGACCTCATAGATATTTACAAAACAGTTTATCCAACAGCAACAGAATACACATTCTTCTCAGCATGTGGATCATTCTCAAGAATAGACCATATGTTTGGACACAATACAAGTCTTAAAAAATAAAAAAAGGAAATTATATCAAATATCTTCTCAGACAACAATTGAATAAAGCAAGAAATCAATAGCAAGAGGAATTTTGGAAACTATATAAAGACACGAAAATTAAACAATATACTCCTGAATGACCTGTGGGTCAATGAAGAAATTAAGAAGAAAAATTAAATATTTATTGAAACAAATAATAATAGAAACACAATATGCCAGTACCTATGGGGTACAGCAAAAACAGTTCTAAGAGAAAAGTTTATACCTATAGGCACCTATATCAAAAAGATTTTTTTAAAAAAAAACTTCTAATAAATCACCTAATGATACATTTCATTTAGGTTCAGGGATACATGTGCAGGTTTGTTAGATAAACTTGTGTCATGGGGGTTTGTTGTACAGTTTATTTTATCACCCAGGTGCAAAGCCCACTACCCATTAGTTATTTTTTGTGTTCCTCTCCCTCCTCCCACACTTCACCCTCTGATAGACCCCGTGTCTGTCGTTCCCCTCTTTTTGTCCATGTGTTCTCATCATTTAGCTCCCACTTAACATGAGAACATGCGATATTTCATTTTCTGTTTCTGTGTCGGTGTGCTAAAGATAATGGCCACCAGCTCCACACGTGCTCCTACAAAGAACATTATCTTATTCTTTTTATGGCTGCATAGTATTCCATGATGAACATGTACCATATTTTCTTCATCTACTTATACCATTGATGGGCATTTAGTTGATTCCACGTCTTTGCTTTTGTAAATAGTCCTGCAATGAACATACCTGTGCATGTCTTTATGATAGAACAATTTGTATTCCTTTGGATATATATACAGTAATGGGATCACTGGGTTGCCTAGTAGTTCGGTTTTTAGCTCTTTGAGGAATATACAAACTTTTTTCAACAATGGTTGAACTAATTTACACTACCACCAACAGTGCATAAGCATTCTCTTCTCTCCGAAACCTCAAATATCATTGTGATTTTGATTTGCATTTCCCTAATGATCAGTGATGTTGAGCATTTTCTCATACACTTGTTGGCTGCACGTATGTCTTATTTTGAAAAGTGTCTATTCATGCCCTTTGCCCACTTTTTAATTTTTTTTTGGTAAGTATGTTTAAGCTTCTTATAGATGCTGTATATTAGACCTTTGTCAGATGCACAAGTGACAAATATTTTCACCCATTCTTTAAGTTGTCTGTTTACTCTGTTCATAATGTCTTGCTTTGTAGAAGCTCTTAAGTTTAATTAGATCCCATTTGTAAATTCTTGCCTTTGTTCCAATTGCTTTTGGCATTTCCGTCATGAAATCTTTGCCAGTTCCTATATCCAGAATGGTATTGCCTAGGTTGTCCTCCAGTGTTTTTGTAGTTTTGGGTTTTACATTTTAGTCTTTAATCCAACTGGAGTTGAGTTTTGTATACAGTGAAAGGTAAGGGGTCCAATTTCAATCTTCTACATATGGCTAGCCAGTTATCCCCACACCATTTATTGAATAAGGAGTCATTTCTCCATTGCTTGTTTTTGTCAGCTTTGTCAAAGATCAGCTGGTTGTAGGCATGCAGCTTTGTTTCTGGGCTCTCTATTCTGTTCCATTGTTCTATGTGTTTGTTTTTGTACCAGTACTATGCTGTTTTAGTTACTGGAGCCTTGCAGTATAGTTTTAAGTCAAGTAACATGATGCCTCCAGTTTTGTTCTTTTTGCTTATAACTGTCTTGGCTAGTCAGGCTCTATTTTTGGTTTGATATAAATTTTAAAATACTTTTTCCAGTTCTGTCAAAAATGTCATTGGTAGTTTGATAGAAATATCATTCAATCTGTAAATTGCTTTTTGCAGTATGGCCATTCTAATGATATTAATTCTTCCTATCCATGTGTATTAGTCTATTCTCACACTGCTAGAAAGAAATACCTGAGACTGGGTAACTTACAAAGGAAAGAGGTTTAATTGACTCACAGTTCCACATGGCTGGGGAGGCCTCAGGCAACTTAAAATCATGGCTGAGGGGGGTAGCAGGCACCTTCCTCACAAAGCAGCAAGAGAAAGAAGTATGAAGAAAGTGAAGGAGGAAGAGCCATTTATAAAACCACTGGATCTCCTGAGAACTCACTCACTATCATGAGCACAGAATGGGGGAATTTGCCCCCATGATTTAGTCACCTCCAACCAGGTATCTCCCTCAGCAACTGGGGATTACAATTTGAGATGAGATTTGGAAGGGAACACAAAGCCAAATTATATCACCATTAGAATAAAATGTTTTTTCATTTGTTGTGTCATTTCTGATTTATTTCAGCAGCTTTTTGTAATTCTTATTGTAGATATCTTTCACCTCCTTGGTTAGATGTGCTCATAGATATTATATGATTTTTGTGGCAATTGTGAATGGAATTACATTCCTGATTTGGATCTTGGCTTGGTTGTTGTTGGTGTATAGGACTGCTAGTGATTTTTGTACATTGATTTGGTATTCTGAAAGTTTGTTGAAGTTCATTATGAGCTTTAGAAGCTTTTGGACCAAGACTATGGGGTTTTCCAGATGAAGAATCATGTCTTCTGCAAACAGGGATAGCGTCACTTCCTCTTTTCCTATTTTGATGTCTTTTATTTCTTTCTTTTACCTAATTGCTCTGGCTAGGACTTCTAATACTATGTTGAATAGGAGTGGTTAGAGAGAACATCCTTGTTTTGTGCCATTTTTGAAGGGGAATGTTTTAAGCTTTAGTCTATTCAGTATGATGTTGGCTATGGGGTTTTCGTAGATGGAACTTATTATTTTGAAATATTTTACTTCAATACACAGTTTGTTGAGAGTTTTTAACACGAAGAGATGTTGAATATTATTAAAAGCCCTTTCTGCATCTATTGAGATGATCATGTATGTGGTTTTTGTCTTTAGTTCTGTTTATTTAATGAATCATGTTTATTGATATGCATATGTTATAGAAAACTTGCATCCCAGGGATAAAGCCTACTTAATTGTTCGGGATTAGAATTTGATGTGCTGCTGGATTCAATTTGCTAGTATTTTGTTAAGAACTTTTGCATCTATGTTCATAAAAGATATTTTCCTGAAGTTTTCTGTTTGTTGAGTCTCTGCAGGATTTACTATCAGGATTATTCTGGCCTCATATAATGAATGAGGGAGGAGTCCTTCCTCCTCAAGGTTTTGGAATTTTTTCGGTAGAAATGGTAACAGCTGTTTTTTGAACATCTGGTAGAATTCAGTTGCAAATCCATCTCATCCCAGGCTTTTTTTGGTTGATAGGCTCTGTATTACCGATTCAATTTTGGAGCTCATTATTGGTCTGTTCAGGGATACAGTTTCTTCCTGGTTCTGTCTTGGGAGGGCATACATGTCCAGGAATTTATGCATTTCCTTCATATTTTCTAGTTTGTGTGCATAGAAGTGTTCACAATAGTCTCTGATTGTTATTTGCATTTCTGTGGGGTTAGTGGTAGTATCTCCTTTGTTGTTTCTAATTGTGTTTATTTGGATTTTCTCTGTTTCTTTTTTTATTAGTCTAGCTAGCAATCTATCTTATTTTTTTTTCTTTCAAAAGCCAGCTCCTAGCTTCATTGGTCTTTTAAAAGGTTATTCATGTCTCAATCTCCTTCAGTTCAGGTCTGATTTTGGTCATGTTTTGTCTTCTGTTAGTTTTGAGGTTGGTTTTCTCTTGCTTCTGTAGTTCTTTTAGCTATAATGTTTGTTAACTTGAGGTCTTTTTAACTTCTTCATGTGGGTGTCTAGTGCTATAAATTTCCCTCTTAATACTGCCTTAGATGCATTCCAGTGATTCTCCTATGTTGTATCATTATTTTCATTAGCTTTTTTTTTAAAATCTTGATTTATGCCTTAATTTTATTATTTACTCAAAAGTCATCCTGGGACAGGTTGTTTAATTTCAAAGTTTGTATGGTTTTGAGTAATTTTCTTAGTCTTGAATTCTATTTTTATTGTGCTGTGACTCAAGAAAGTGATTGCTATAATTTTGGGTTTTTTGTATTTCCTGAGATTTCTTTTATGTCCAACTGTGTGGTCATAGTGATTTGAGTATGTACCATGTGGCAATGGGAAGAATGTATATTCTGTTGTTTCAGGGTGGGGAGTTTTGTAAATGTCTATCAGATCCATTTGGTCCATTGTTGAGTTTAGGTCCTAAATATCTTTGTTAATTTTCTGCCTCGATGAACTAATACTGTCAGTGGGGTGTTGAAGTCTCCCACTGTTACAGCGTTAGAATGTAAGACTTTTTGAAGGTGTCTAAGATCTTGCTTTATGGATCTGTGGGCTCCTGTGTTGAGTGTACAGAGATTTAAGATAGCTATGTCTTCTTGTTTAATTAACCCATTATGATATAATACTCGATTTGTCTTTTTAGATCTTTGTTGGTTTAAAGCCTGTTTTGTCTGAATTTAGGATTCTGACCCCTGATTTTTTCTGTTTTTCATTTGCTTGGTAGAATTTTATTCATCCCTTTGTTTTGAGCCTATGCGTGTCATGGCATGTGAGATGGTTCTTTTGAAGACAGCATACCATTGGGTCTTTCTCCTTTATCCACCTTGCCACAGTGTGCCTTTTAAAATTGGGGCTTTTAGCCCATTTATATTCAAGATTAGTATTGATATGTGTTGATTTATTCTGTTATCATGTTGTTGGTTATTATGTTAACTTGTTAATATGATTGCTTTATAGTGCCACTGGTCTCTGTACTTAAATGTGCTTTTGCAGTGGCTGGTAATGGTATATTCTTTCTATATTTAGTGCTTCTTTTAGAAACTCTTGAAAGGCAGTTCTGGTGGTAATAAATTCCGTCAGCATTTGCTTGTCCGAAAATGATTTAATTTTTCCTTCACTTATGAAGTTTAATTTGGCTGGGTATGAAATTCTTTGTTCTTTTTTTTTTTAATGTTGAAAATAGGCCCCTGACCTTGGGCTTGTAGGTTGCCTGCTGAGAGTGTCACTGTTAGTCTGAAGGTCTAAAGAGCTTCCCTTTGTAAGTGACTGTTTTTTTTCCTTTCTAGCTGCCTTTAGCAGTATTTCTTTTATTTCAACCTTGGATAATCTGATGATTATATGTCTTGGGGATGATCTTCTTATGAAGTATTTTGTGAGGATTCTCTGTATTCCTTAAATTTAAATGCTGGCCCCTCTAGCAAGGTTGAGGAAGTTCTCATGGATGTTATCTTGTGATATGGTTTGGCTGCGCCTCCATCCAAATCTCATTTTGAATTGTAGATCCCATAATTCCCTCATGTAGTTGGAGGGATCCAGTGGGATATGATTGAATCATGGGGTCAGTATCCCCCATACTGTTCTCATGGTAGTGAATAAGTGGCATGAGATCTGATGGTTTTATAAGGAGGAACCCTTTTTGCTTGGCTCTCATTCTCTTCTCTTGTCTGTCACCATGTGCTATGTGGCTTTCACCTTCTGCCATGATTGTGAGGCCTCCCCAGCCATGGGAAACTGTGAGTCCATTAAACCTCTTTCTTTTGAAGTTTCCTAGTCTTGAGTATATCTTTATCAGCAGCATAAAACCAGGCTAATATAGTAAATTGGTACCAGTAGAGTGCAGCACTATAAAAAAGATACCTGAAAATGTAGAAGCGAGTTTGGAATTGAGTAACAGGCAGAGGGTGAAGACAGGAAAATGTGGGAAAGTTTGAAACTCCCTAGAGACTTGTTGAATGACTTTGACAAAAATGCTGATAATGATATGGACAAAGAAATCCAGGCTGAGGTGGTCTCAGATGGAGATTAGGAACTTATTGGCAACTGGAACAAAGGTGACTCTTGTTATGTTTTAGCAAAGAGACTGGCAGGATTGTGCCCCTGCCCTAGAGATTTGTGGAACTTTGAACTTGAGAGAGATGATTTAGGTTATCTGGCAGAAGACATTTCTAAGCAGCAAAGCATTGAAGAGGTGACTTGGGTGCTGTTAAAAGCATTCAGTTTTAAAAGGGAAACAGAGCATAAAAGTTCGAAAATTTGCAGCCTGACAATGCGAAAGAAAAGAAAATCCCATTTTCTGGGGAGAAATTCAAGCCAGCTGTAGAAATTTGCATAAATAACTAGGAGCTGAATGTCAATCTTCAAGACAATGGGGAAAATATTTCCAGGGCATGTCAGAGGTCTTCATGGCAGCACCTCCCAACATGGGCCTGAAGCCTAGGAGAAAAAAATGGTTTTGTGGGCTGGGCCTAGGGTCCCCGTGCCATGTGCAGCACAGGGTCTTGGCGCCCTGTGTCCCAGCTGCTCCAGACACAGTTTACAGGGGCCAATGTAGAGCTCAGGCTGTGGCTTCAGAGGGTGCAAGTCCCAAGCCTTGGTAGCTTCCACATGGTGTCGAGCCTGAAAGTACACAGAAGTCCAGAAGTGGGGTTTGGGAACCTCCACCTAGATTTCAGAGGATGTGTGGAAATGCCTGGATGTCCAGGAAGAAGTTTGCTGTAGGGGCAGGGTCCTCATGGAGAACCTCTGCTAGGGCAATGCAGAAGGAAATGTTAGTTTGGAGCCCCCAAACAGAGTTTCTACTGGGTCTTTGCCTAGTGGAGCTGTGAGAAGAGGGGCACCCTTCTCCAGACCCCAGAATGGTAGGTCCACCAACAGCTTGCATTGTGAGCCTGGAAAAGCTGCAGACACTCAATGCAAGCCCATGAAAGCAGCTGGGAGGGAGGCTGTACCCTGCAAAGACACAGGGGTGGAGCTTCCCAAGACCGTGGGAAAGCACCTCTTGCATTAGCGTGACCTGGATGTGAGACATGGAGTCAAAGGAGATTATGTTGGAAATTTAAGATTTGACTGTCCTGCTGGATTTTGGACTTGCATGGGGCTTGTAGCCCCTTTGTTTTGGCCAATTTCTCCCATTTGGAATAGCTATATTTACCCAATGCCTGTATCCCCATTGTATCTAGGAAGTAAGTAACATGCTTTTATTTTTGAGGCTCATAGGTGAAAGAGACTTGCCTTGTTTCAGATGAGACTTTGGACTATGGACTTTTGAGTTAATGGTAAAATGAGTTAAGATTTTGGGGGACTGTTGGGAAGGCATGATTGGTTTTGAAATTTGAGGACATAAGATTTGGGAGGGGCCGGGGGGGAAAGATATGGTTTGACTGTGCCTCCACCCAAATCTCATCTTGAATTATAGCTCCCATAATTCCCTTAAGTTGTGGGAGGGACTCAGTGGGAAACGATTGAATCATAGGGGCAGTTTCCCCCATACTATTCTCATGGTAGTGAATAAGTCTCACAAGATCTAATGGTTTTATAAGAAGAAACCCCTTTTGCTTGGGTCTCATTCTCTTCTCTTGTCTGCCACCATGTGAAATGTGCCTTTCACCTTCTGCCATGATTGTGAGGCCTTCATAGCCATGTGAAACTGTGAATCCATTAAACCTCTTTCTTCTGTAAATTGCTCAGTCTCAGGTATGTCTTTATCAGCAGCATGAAAGCGGACTAATACATGCTGAAATATGTTTTTCAAGTTGCTTCCATTCTCCCCATTTCTTTCAGAGATGCCAATGAGTCATGGAATTGTTCTTTTTACATAATCCCATATTTTTGGAGGTTTTATTCATTCCTTTTTATTCCTTTAAAAAATTCTTATCTGACTGTCTTATTTCAGAAAGCCAGTCTTTGAGCCTGAGATTCTCTTCTCTGTTAGGTTTATTCTGCTAACACTTGTAATTGCATTATGAAATTATTGGAGTGTGTTTTTCAGTTCTATGAGATTGCTTGCCTTCTTTTCTATACTGCCCTTTTTGTCTGTCGGCTCCTATATTATTTCACTGTGATTCTTGGCTTCCTTAGATTGGGTTTCAGTGCTCCCCTGAATCTCGATAATCTTTGTTTCTATCTATATTTTTAATTCTATTTCTGTCACTTTAGCCATCTCAGTTTGGTTAAGAATCATTGCTGGAGATCTACTGCAATCATTTGGAGGAAGGAAGGTACTTAGGCATTTTGACTTTTCAGAGTAATTGTGCTGGTTCTATCTCATCCTTGTGGGCTAATTTTACTTTCATCTTCAAAGTTGATGTCCTTTGGATGGATTTTTAATAATTTTATCCTATTTGATGACCTTGAGGATTTCATTGGGTATAAGGTGGGTTCAGTCAACTGTCTTCATTTCTGGAAGATTTTTAGGAGGCCAAGGCCAGCTGAGGATGCTTGGACTGCATTTTCTAACACTGAGGGACTGATATCGGGCTCTGGCTTTGTTCTCTGGCTCTTTAAGGTTAGGAACCTGCTGTGCTGGAGGGGCCAAGGTGCTTTCCAACCTCTGGTCACTACATGCTGTTGGATGCTGCCAGCGAAAGCACTTTGTAGCAGTAGGATCCATCCTTGTTCACATGTGCCATCTGCAGTGGCAGTATCATCATTGTGGCAAGGTGCACACTCATCAGCTGCTGTAGGGTGCTAGCAGGTGCCAGGGTGCCATCCTCCATGTGGGTGTTTACAGCAGTGGCAATGTGGCCTGGGGTGTGAGGGAGCCACCAGCTACTGCAAACATTTGCACAGGTGGTAGTGTTAGCATGGCTATGGAGCATTTGTGACCGGAGGACTGTGTGTGCCTTCTATGCACAATCATGTAGGTGGTCGTGGCCACTCTGGGTGGGGATAGTTTCACTGTTCTTCATGCCTAGTTTTGCACCTAATTTGCATGACTAATGGAAGTAATTATACGTTTTAAATAAATAGAAAAGCAGGAGCAAATCAAACCCAAAATTAGGAGAAAAAATAATTAATATTGGACTGCAAATGAATAAATCTGAAATTAAGGACACAACGCAAAAGATCAATGATACAAAATTTTTTGTTTTTATAAAAAGAATCAACAAACCTTTAGTCAGACTAACTCCAAAAAAGATAGAAGGCTGAAGTAAATAAAATCATAGATGGAAAAGGAGTCATTACAACCAATACCAGAGAAATTCAAAGGGTCATCAGAGGCTACTATGAGCAACTATATGCTAATAAGTTGGAAAGCCTAGAAGAAATGGATAAATGTCTAGACACATAACCTAACAAGACTGAACAATGAAGGTATCCAAAACTTGAACAGACCAATAACAAGTAATGACACTAAAGCCGTAATAAAATTCTCCCAGCCAAGGAAACCCTGAGTCCTGATAGCTTTCATGCTGATTTTTTTCAAACTTTTGAAGAAATAATAGAAATGCCACTCAAACTATTCCCCAAAAATAAGGGGGAGGGAGTATTTCCAAAGTTTTTCTATGGGAACATTATTACCCTGATACAAAATGAGACAAAAACACATGAAACAATGGAAACTACAAAACAACATCACTGATGGACATTCATGCA
The DNA here is from genome assembly GCF_000001405.40 of Homo sapiens. NCBI lineage: Eukaryota > Metazoa > Chordata > Mammalia > Primates > Hominidae > Homo > Homo sapiens. The sequence continues at coordinate 81,648,297 of NC_000023.11, forward strand.
AAAGTCTTCAACAAAATACTAGCAAACCAAGTTCAAAAAACACATTAAAAAGACTGTTAATCATGAACCAAGTGGAATTTATCCCAGGGATGCAAAAATTATTCAACATATGGAAATCAATCAATGTGATATATCATATCAACCCAATGAACAACAAAATCGTTAAGATTATTTCAATTGATGCTGCACAAGCATTTGATAAAATTCAACATCTCTTCATGATTAAAAAAACCTCAAAAAATGTTTAAAAAAAGAACATAACACAATAAAAGCCATATATGACAGATTCATAGCTACTATCATACAAAATAGGAAAAAACTGAAAGCGTTTCCTCTAAGATCTGGAACATCACAGGATGCACACTTTCACCACTGTCATTCAACATAGCAAGACAGTCTTGGAAAGAACAATCAGCCAGGAAAAGAAATAAAGGTCATCTAAATTGGTTAGGAAGAAGACAAATTATCATTATTTGCAGATCATACAATCATATATTTGCAAAAAAACCTAAAGACTTCACAAAAAACCTATTAGAACCTATTTAAAAATTGAGTAACATTGCAAGATACAAAATCAACATACAAAAATTAGTAGCACTTCTATATAACAACAGTGAACAATCTGAAAAATAAAGCAATAAAATATTCCCATCTACAACAGTTACAAATAAAATAATATACCAAGGGATTAACCAAAGGAGTGAAAGATCTCTGCACTGACAACTATAAATCTTTGATGTCAGAAATTGAAGAAAACACCAAAAAATGGAAAGATATTTTATATCAATGGCTTCTTAGAAACAACATTGTTAAACATACCTGTGTATGTGTCTTTATAGTAGCATGATTTATAATCCTTTGTTGTGGCACTATTCACAATAGCAAAGATTTGGAACCAACCCAAATGTCTATCAATGATAGAGTGGATTAAGAAAATGTGGCACATATACACCATGGAATACTATGCAGCCATAGTAGTCCCTCTTTCCAATTCCTAAGATTAATCAGAAGCTTATAATTTTATGCCAGCTGGCAAGGATACCACCACAATTATGTTGCATGCAGTCCAAGGTGTGGCTTTTCCTATCACTCTAGAAAACATAAATAATAAACCTTGGCAGTGTCCATGTGGTACTAATTCTGCAAATGTGTAGAATGCAAGAATTGTGAGTTCATGGCAGTCTCCACTTAGATTTCAAAGGAAGTTGCAGACTGCCTGGGAATCCAGGCAGAAATTTGTTCTTAGGAACAGAGCCATTGCCCATTGGAGCCATGTGAGTGGGGCATCCTCTGAGACGCCAGAGGACCACCTGGGCAATCGGTGGGCAATTCCAGCCTGGAAAAACTGCAGGAAAAAAAATACTCTAACCCATGATGAGAGCTGCTGGGTGGACTGAGCTTACAAAGATCATAGGGATGGGGCTTCCTGAGGCCTTGAGAGCCCTACCCCCACCCCGCTGTGACCAAGATGTGAAACATGGAGTCAAAGAAATTATTATGTTGCCTTAGAATTTAATATTGTTTTTCCTCCTGGGTTTTGGGCTTACTGGGGGAACAGTTACCTCTTTCTTCTTGCCTATTTTTCCCTTTTGGAATGTGAATGTCAATTCTTTGCCTATCCCACCACTGTATTTTGATAGTACATAGCTTGTTTAATTTCACAGACTTATAGATGGAGGGAAATTTGTCTCATAAATCGTGTCTTGAGTTTCAGCCATAACAGATTTAGAGGAGACTCTGGACTTAGAACTTTTGAACTGATGCTGGAACAAGTTAAGGCTTTTGTGGCTATTGAGGTGGTATTAATGTATTTTACATATGATAAGAACATACATTTTGGGGGATGGATGTTAAATGCTAGTGTTTAAATGTGTCCCTTAAATTTCATGTGTTGGAAATATAATTTTCAATGCAACAGTGTTAAGAGGAGAGAGCTTTAAAAGGCGATTCAGTCATGAGGATTCTCCCGTCATGAATAGACTAATGCTGTTATTGGAGGAGTGTGTTAGTTACACTGGGAGTGAATTTCTGGTAAAATAATAAATTTGGAGTCTTTTCCTCTCTTTCTCACCCAAGAGATGCCTTCTAACATGTTGCGATGCAGCAAGAAGGCAATTGACAGGTGGGTCTCTTAATCTTGGATTTTTCAGCCTTAAGAACCATGAGCCAAATAAATTTGTATTCATTATAAATTGCCCAGTATGGTATTCTGTTATAGGAACATAAAAAAAAAAAACTATGACACATGGTTTCTGAGTAGAATTTGGATGTGATTTCTATCTTTGCTCTTCTATAAGTAAAGTGTTTTTCCCTTCTGATTTATTTCAAGAATTTTTCTTCATCTTTGATTTTTCTGAAGCCTAAATATGCTAGGTCTAGCTGTGGGGTGTTTTTTTGACATTTATCTTGTTCAGTGTTCTCTGAACTTTTGAGATCTGTGGTTTTGCATCTGACATTGATTTCAGGAAATTCTCTGCCATTATTGCTTCACATATTGCTTCTTTTCCTGTCTTTTTTTTTCCGGTATTCCCATTCTACGTAAGTTACACATTTTAGAGTTGTCAGTTTTTGGATATTTGGGGAGTTTTTTATAGTTGTTCAGTTTTTTTCTTACTTTTGAAAATTTTTATTGTCATGTCCTCAGAGCTAAGAGATTGTTTTTTTCAAAAATGTAGAGTCCACGAATGAGCCCATAAAAGTCATTATTTCTATTACAGTGTTTTTCATCTCTAATATTTCTTTTGGTTCTTAGAATTTCCATCTCTTTGCTGACAATATCTATCTGTACTTTCATATTTTCTACTTTGTAATGTTAGATGTGATTAGCATATTACACATAGACTTGAACAATTTCTATTCTGATAATTTCAACATTTCTGCAATATCTGACTCCTGCTCTGATACTTGTTCAGAATCTTCAAAACTGTATTTTTTCTTTCACTTACTATGCTTTGTTATTTTTTTTGAAAGGTGGACATGATGCATTTGGTAAAAGAAACTGCAGTAAATAGGCTTTAATAATGCAGTGGTAAGTTTTGCGGGGCCGGGGAGAAAGTGCTCATGTTGTATGATTAGGTCTTAGTGTTTTGGTGAGCCTATGGCCCTGGACTGTGAAAATAGCAAGAGCTTCTCCCCCTTTTTCTCCCACTTTTAGGTGGGACAGGATGGCTAGAATGGGTGGGAGTTGGGGATTTCCCTTCCTCTAGGTAAGTTAGGCTCTGAAGAAACAGGTAGACTTAACAAGGGCAGACCTTGTTAAGAACAAAATGCTCTGGAGTATTTAAAAATGGTTACTTTTCTCCTCCCCCTGCCAGAAGCACGAGGTGACTTGTCTCTGATATTCACCGTGAGGACCAGTGAGAATGCCTGGGGAGAGGTAAAACTTTAAAAGTGTGCAGGCCCTCCTATCACTGGGTAACCTTAGAGTTTTTAGTTTTGAAACTTGTACATACTAATCCTCTAACAATTCATCAATTGCATTGCAAGTGTTCCTGCTCTGACACTTGCTGCGGTGGAAGTTTCTGCTTATGGGTTTCTGCTGTGGTAGGTTGTGGTTTTTCTGTATCTACCTGTCTGTTACTCTGACTTGGGGACAATTGTTTGGCCTGTGATTTAATCTTTCTTATGGGTTTAGCAAACTAACAGAAACAGAAAACCAAATACCGCATGTTCTCACTTATAAGTGAGAGCTAAATGATGAGAACATATGAACACATAGAGGGGAACAACACACAGTGGGGCCTTTTGGAGTGTGGAAGGTGGGAGGAGGGAGAGGATAAAGAGAAATAACTAATGAGTACTAGGCTTAATACCTGGGTGATGAACTAATCTGTACAACAAATTTCCATGACACAAGTTTATGTAACAAACCTGCACTTGTACTCCTGAACATAAAATAAAAGTTAAAGAGTTTTTATTTTAAACTGTGTATTGCTTTTTGCTTGTTGTTAGGATGAGGTGGCGACTTCTAAACTTGCAACATGCTGAACTGGAAAGCAGAAGTGATGGTATACTTTTGAATATTTTGATAGTAAAAAATACTAATAGAAATTAAATAGGACTTCCTTTCATTTGATAATTGATTTTCTGTCTATTACCTTATTTGAAAATAACTTAATGAGCAAGGGAGTATGTCTAACCCACCTACACACCCTTAGGAGTGCCTTTTTAAGTTTTACCTTTAGTTACAGCCCTTTATAAAAAGCCCAATTTTTTCTGTCTTCAGGAATTTCTCCAAGTGTGTTCCTTGGACACACCTTTGTGTTCTGATTGATCACTGTGGCTGCTTCTGCTTTGCTTCACTTTGGTTTTTGTTCTCTATATATTTTCTTGGACTTGACAATTGAGAGTTGGTCAAGTCCAAGTCTTCCCTTTTTTCAAAATGTTCACTCCTCTGGATGGTCTCAGCTATGTGCCTGCATGTGTGGTGCAGTAAAAAACCAATTCTTTGCCTGAAGAGACTTGGAAGAGTAGATTTCTTTTAGATAGTTATTTTTAAATTTTTATTATTTCTAGAAGGTGACAACTTCCCCATTTTTCCAGTACTCAATTGTGGCAAGCCCAGATGTCCTGCGTTCTGGCCCTGTTCTCTATCCCACAGTCTATTTCTTGTTTCCTCCACTGCCCTTCTTTCCAATTCCTAAGATTAGCTAGAAGCTTACAATTTTATGACATCTGGCAAGGATACCAGATTCTTTCAGCTGCTAGCACAGTGGCTACCAAAGTATTACTGCACCAAGCCACCTATTCCTTTAGCCAAATAGCTCCTTCCAGTATTGGAACTCAAATTTGAACAGAGGTTAATAGAAATAATATTTTAATCAGTACCCCCTATTACTGGAATTTCTGTCCCAAGAAAAATTACCTAGTTACCTACTTGCATTGTCATCTCAGTTATTTTCTGACAGTTCTTGAACATCATACAGTAATCTTTATATTTTACAATAATAAGGTGGAGAAAAACAGTGCACTGGTGTGATTTGGATGTTTGCCCTTCCAAATCTCATGTTGAGGTGTTATCTTCAATGTTGAAAGTTGGGTCTAGTGAGAGGTGTTGGATCATAGGGGTGGATTCTTCATGAAAGGCTTAAAGCCATCCCCTTGCTAATGAGTGATTTCTCATTCAGTTAGTTCTGTGAGATCAGATTGTTTAAAAGAGCCTGGAAGCTCATCCCTTTCTCTCTCTCTTGCCCCCTCTCTTACCATGTAATATGCCTGCTCCCCCTTCACCTTTCATCATGAGTGGAAGCTCCCTAAGGCCTTCAACAGAAGCAGATGCCAGCACCATGCTTCCTGTACAGCCTGTAGAACCATGAGCCAACTAAACCTCTTTTCTCTATAAATTACCCAGTCTCAGGTATTTATAGCAATGTAAGAACAGACTAACATATACAACTTGTTTTGAAGTGCTTGTGGGATTGTTAATAGTGCCCCTTCTTTGTCCATACAGTATCTACTTGAAGACCACCCAAGTCACCAATCAACATTAAATCATGCAGTTGGCTGTTTTTCCCAGTTGTAATACGAATGAGTACAATTATCACATGGAAGGACACAGTTCTCCAGCTCTTCATTGAACTCAAGACTATAAGTACATTTAGCACACTGTTAAATAAAAAAAAAATCATTCTTTTTTTGACATACTGCTAAAAAAGTCATTATTTTTGAATGGAGACAAAATAACCTTTGGAAATCACTCCCATTTAGCAACACGTAGGGGAGGTTGTTGGAGAGCCGAGTCCAATCATTCACCACTATCTAACATCTGATATAGTTTACAAAAGGCAATTTAAAAATGATATGTATCATGGAATTACTTCAGAATTCTCCATATAAATTGACTTGATCTCTTTCACCTGACTGCTGTTTTTAACTCTCACATATAAGTGAAAACATGTGATATTTGCCTTTTATTACCTGACTTATTTCACTTTGGAAAATGACGTCCAGATCCAGCCATGTTGCTACAAATAACATAATTTCATTTTTTCAAATGGTCAAATATTAATAGTATTCTATTGTGTACATACATTGTATTTTATGTATCCACTGATGGACACAGATTGATTCCATATCTTTTCTATTTCTTTCCTATTGTGAATAGTGCTGCAATAAACACACAAGCGCAGGTGTCCCATTTGAAGTATTGATATATTTTCCTTTGGGTAGATTCCCAGTAGTGGATTTGCTGGATTGAATGGTAATTCTATTTTTAGTTTTTTTTGGGAATCTCCATACTGTTTTATGGTGGCTGTACCAGTTTACATTCCCACAAACAGTGTATAAGAATTCCCTTTTCTCTGCATTCTTGCCAACATCTTTTTTTTTTTAAGTTGTTGTTGTTGTTGTTATTGTTTTTGTATTTAAGATGATAGCCATTCTGACTGGGGTAATATGATTTGCATTTCTATGATGATTACTGGTATTGAGCATTTTTTCAGATACTTCTTGGCCCTTTTTCTTCTTTTGAGAAATGTCAACTCATGTTGTTTGCCAATTCATTAATGGAATAATTTCTTCATTTATCGTTGAGTTGTTTGATATTCTTGTGTATTCTGGATATTTGTCCCCCGCCAGATGAGTAGTTTGCAAATATTTTCTTCCATTCAACAGGTGTACTTTTGGTTCACTCTGTCGATTATTTTGCTGTACATGCAGACCAGTTCCAGGTTACCAAGCTGGCCCTGGCTACAAATCTCATTGCCCAGGAGAAACTGCAGCTAAAGCATTTCTCCACATGCCCCAGGCTTGCAATGGTGGAAAGCACAGTTCCAGTTTCTACTGCTGAACTGCTATCTACAGTTCTGTCTGTGGAGTCCCCTACCCCACTCCAGAGCTAGTGCTCCAATCTCTGGCCTGAAACAAAAATGCCTACACTGCCACAGTGTTGTATCACCAAAGAATGTCTTACTTTGTGTGCCCAGATTAAAAATAATGTCGTGCTATCAGTCTCAGGTCTGGGAAAATACCTGCAGTTTTTCCCAGTGTCTTACTCTCAGTGCCTCCAAGACTTTGCCCATGTTAGCTCCAGAGCATGGGAAAAACAAAGCGTTCTCCCTCAGCCTGGGTTGCTTGGATCCCCAGTGGAAAGATGAGTCACAGTGGGAGCCTTTCTGCCGCACTCACATCCTGGGAGATGTGACCTGGGCGGGACGGGGGAGGGGCGGGTTACTCACTTTTTAAAGCTGAATGCTGTTGCAACGTGTATTAATTAAAGTTCTCTCTAAAGGGACAGAACTAATAGGATATATGTATATATGAAAAGGAGTTTATTAAGGACAATTCACTCACATAACTACAAGGTAAAGTCCCACCATAGGCCGTCTGAAAGTTGAGGGGCAAGAAAGCCAGTAGTGGCTCAGTCCGAGTCCCAAAACCTCAAAAGTAGGGAAGCCAATATTACAGCCTTCAGTCTGTGGCTGAAGGCCCAAGAACCTCTGGCAAACCACTGGTGTAAGTCCAAGAGTCCACAAGCCAAAGAACTTGGGAGTCCGATGTTCCAGAGCAGGAAGCATCCAGAATCGGAGAAAGATTTAGGCTGGAAGGCTCAGCAAGTCAGCTTCTTCCACCTTTTTCTGCCTGCTTTTTCTAGCCACACTGGCAGCCAGTTGGATGGTGCCCACCCACATTGTTAGTGGGTCTTTCTTCCCCAGTCCACTGATTCAAATGTTAATCTCTCTGGCATCACCCAGAAACACCTAGATAAACCAAGAAACAATACTTTGCATCCTTCAATCCAATCAAGCTAACTCTTAATATTAACCACCACACAAGGGCTGTTTGCTCATGTTTCCCTCTGAGATTTGGGGAGTCCTTCACAATTCTGGTGGATTCTCATTTTACTTCTTGAATTAAGGCTCAGAGAGTTAATCTTTATGCACTATATTGCTATTTCCAAGTGTCTGAGCCATGCTAAAGCCTCTAATCTGCCATCTTAATAAAAAATCTGTATCTTTTAAGTTGTAATTAAGTTGCATTCAAGGTTATTATTGTTATGTGAGGTTTCATTCCTGTCATATTATTAATTATTTTCTGGTTGTTTTTTTATATCATTTTGTCTTTGCTTTTTCTTTATCATTGTCATTGTTTGGTACATTTCTGTCGTGGTACCATTTTAGTCCTATTTCTTATTCTTTTGTATAATTGCTTTTCCTGTGAGTTTTTACCTTTGTTTGCTTTCGTGATGGTAAATGTCACCCTTTCAATTCCAGGTTTAGTACTCTCTTGAGCACTTCTTGTATGGCCAGTATAGTGTTAGTAAATTCCCTCAGCGTTTTCCTGTCTGGAAAAGACTTTATTTCTCCTTCATTTGTCAAATCTAATTTTATGGATAGAATATTCTTGACTGACAGAGATTTTTTGTTGTTATTTTCACTTCAGCACTTTGAATAAATCATCCCATCGTCTTTTGGCCTGCAAGGTTTCCGTTGAGTAATTTGATGTTAACATGATGGAACTTTCTTTATAGGTTACTTTATTCTTTTCTTTAGCTGTTTTTTTCTGATTTGCTGTTTGATTTGAAATGGTATGACCATAATCTGCTCTGGAAAAGATATTTTTGCATTGTAACTGCCTGGGAATGGCGAGCCTCCTGTACCTGAATGTCTAAATCTCTTTCTAGACTTGGAAAATAAGTATCTATTATTTCGTTTAAAAGGTTTTCTAAACTTTTTTCCCCTCTCTTTGCTCTTGGGGATACAGATGATTGTGTATTTAGTTACTTTACATTGTCCCAAATATTACAAAGACTTTGCTTATTTTTTTTTATCTTTTCTTCTTTATTCTTTTCTGACCGGATTATTTCAAAATACCTGTCTTCAAGTTTTCAGGTTATTTTTCCTTCTTGATCTAATAATCTATTGTTGAAGCTTTCTAATGTTTTTTATTTCTTTCAATAAACTTCAATTCAGTAACTTTTATTTCTTTAAAAAATATCTATTTCTTTCATAAATTTCACCTTTATGTTCTGAATTGTTTTCTGATTCCATTGTATAGTTTTTCAGAAGTCTTTTCTATCTCACTGGCTTCTTTAAAACAAATATTTTAATTTTTTTCTTGGAGTTTGGAAATTTCTTTTTGATTGTGGTCTATTGAGGCAGAAACATTTTACTTCTCTGGAGGTGTAATATTTTCTTGCTTTTTCATATTTCCTATGTCCTTACAGAGATATCTGTGCATCAGCTGTAACAGTCACTTCTTCCTATTCTTGAATTTACTTTTATAGGTTAGTACTTTTTCCTGAATATGTTTTTATGGTGTTGGTCGATTATGGCACTGGCTTTGATTTTGGATGCGTATACAAGTGTCATCTCTGTATTATTTATTTGACTGCAGAAAATATTGATAGTGTCTGTGATTTTCTCTGTGGTTTAGGGTATGCTTATTAGTAGAGGCTGTGGTGAAGTTGTGCTTGGATGTGGAACACTAAATGTGCCAGGCTTCAGGCCCCAGTAGTTGTCACAGGAGACTGAGAATGCCAATCTTGTTGCCCCAGGGAGTGTACACTGGCTCCAGTTTTAGTGGTTATTGGTGGACTGATTCTTGAGCCTTCAAGTGGGCTGCTCAATTGAGTAATGGAAGCAGTGGACCAGGTAGACGAGTAGATTGTCGGGCTTCTGGACAACTGATATACTGTGGGCTATGACAGTAGCAGTGTTGGGATTAGTCTCTGGGTCCTAAGCCATGTGCACTGATTTCGGCAGTGGCTATTATGTGCTTGGCTGTCCAGTCTCCAGGCCTGAAGGTGGCACTTGCAGGTAGGTGCCAGCTGAGATGGTGACAATTGGGAACTAAGGACCAACTTTAGGCCCCAAAATACTCATGTGCCCAAGGAGGTGGACTAAGTTGAGCAATCTCCAGGACTCCCAGCCTATGTGTTTTGTTTTGAGGGTGTGTAGCAGAGCTGAGTGGCCTTGACTTCAGGCCCCCCAGTGGGGAGAGGAGGTGCCATCTGTGGTGGGTAAGGGCAGGATGATCCTCATGCCCTGTGGAGTTGTCAGATGTGGGCTGATAGTATCTGTGCCCAGGCCCTGCCAATGGAGAAGGTGGGGCTGGACTCAGTGGCTGCAGACTGATTTGGCAGGTGGGGAACACACATCCATTTCATGCCCCAGCCTTGGAAAGGCTTGTCCCTAGCTCTGCTGGTGGTAGACCATGCCTAACTTGGGCCTCAGTTCCAGCTACAGGAATGTCTGCCCATCTCACGACTAAGTCCCTGGGGCAACTTGTACCTGGTTTATGAACCAATCTTGGTTCTGTCAGTACTTGCTTCCCAACATCAGCAGCTACAGCCCACCTTTTGCTTATGCCTCAGCCCTGGCTATGGGGGTGCTCCCAGCTTGTACCCCAGTACCAGCTGTGACAACCAAAGTTTCCCTAACACCTCATTCCTGGGACCCAGGGAAGCATGCAGTCTACCAAAGGTTCAGACTGAAAATGATATCTTGCTGTAGCTGTTTAGGTCTCAGAAAGTATGTGAGACAGTGCAAGCTCTCCTCCTGGACCAGTTCTGTCCCACAGTCTCCTGGCAGCTTCCTATGTTAATGTAAGTGCTCTCCCATGCCCAGGATTACATAATTTTATGGAGAGAATATGGCCACTGGAAGTCTCTTACTTACCCTTTCCCCACATTGGGAAGTCACGTCCAGGTCTCAGCAAATCCAAGCCAAGCAAGGTGCCTCTCTTCATTTTCCCTTCATGCCTTTGATGTTTTCTGTCACTTTTCTGATGGATTCATGTGTTTTTGTTGGATAATGTATTCAAAATGTGGTTGTCTATACACGATTTTGTTTCTTTTAAGTGGGAGAGGCAAGCATGAAATGCTTCTAGTCAGTCATTTTGAAGCCCCTCCTGTTTTGTTTGTTTTAAGCAGAGGCCCACTGTAGCCATTTTTGAGCACTTGCTTGACAATTTTATTTTATTTTTCTAGTTGAGCCATAGGTAAGTTTGGCAAGCATCTCTATTTTATTAATATTTGGTATATTGTGTGGTTACAGCTGCCACATACCTCTCTTCACAGCTCTCATAAAGTCTTAAATTGATGAGTATTAGTTATTTATCGCATAATATATTACCACAGGCTAAGTGTTTTAAAACCACATGCATTTGTTACCTCACAGTTGTCTGTAGATTAGAAGCCCAGCACTGGCTTTGTCTTCCCATCTGCTCAGGGTATTACGAGTCTCCAATGTAGGTGTCTTCCAGTGCTGCAATATTATCTGAGGCTCAGAGTCCCCTTCTGAGTTCACTGGATGTTGACAGAATTAATTTCCTTACTGTTGTATGACTACAGTAGCTTTTTTTTTTTTCTAGCTGTTGTCAAGTGAACATTCTCAGCTCCTATCACTATTCTTGGGCCTTTGCCATGTGGATCTGTGGATTCCCTTTAAAGGCAGTTCAAAATGTGGATGTTTGAGTATTCAAAGACAGCAGAGAGTCTTCTGCTGCTGCTTCACGTCAGTTTTAAGAGCTTATGTTGCTAGGCTAGGCCTACCCAGGATAGTCTCCCTTTTGACTAACTCAGAGTCAACTGATTGGGCACCATAATCTCATCTGCAAAATTTATTTACCTTTTATCTATAAGGTAGCCCTAAAAATACACTAAGCCAGTGTGTGAGGTTTTTATGTTGCATTGTGCATTATCATGAACTTAACTGCTCAAAACAATGAACATTCATTGTGTTTCCTTGGGTCAGGAATTTGAGTACAACTTGACTGCGTCCTCTCTTCAAAGTCTCACAAAGCTTACTCAAGGTGACAACCTATCTACGTACCTTCATGGAACTCAAGGGAAGGAGATCCTACAAGGTATTAATGGCAAGGGGTGGGAATCTTGGTGACCAATTTTTAATTATGTTTATTGCACATTGGGAAGACTACTTGGTGTCTTTTTCCCAGAGGTTTCAAAGGTCTAGTGAATACCGTTTCTCCTTTTCAACAAGCACTTTCCTTCCTTCTCACCTGCCCTTTGCCTGAAATAGGATTTCTCAGCATCAGATAGCCCCTCCCATTATCAATCTGAACACATTAAATAATCAAAGCAGTTCTCAACAAAAAATAATTTTGGACAAGGTGACTCTATTGTCTGCTAATGAATCAGTGCCAATTCTTTTCATTTTGTTAAGTAATTAATGATCTCATTGATAAGGTTGGGCTTCATTTGATTTTTTTTCTCAGTCCATTGGGATTCAGGCAGAAATAATCTATTTTCAGCATATTTCAACCAATGAATAATGGAGAGACTGAAATTTCTCCTTAAAACAGGGTCTAAATCTTGGAAAAATGTACTATTATTTTGAGTCCCCAAAATATATTAAAATCATATATTTGTCCTATGCTCCAAAAACCTTCTATTTCATTTAGGTATATTTAGGTAGGTATTGTATGTTAATGAGATATACATTGATTGTAAGAAGAATGCTTAATGAGGTTCACTTGCCATCCAATTAATTTAATTTTAAATTACATGAGCAATAAAGGCTTAATTACATTCTTATCAATATACTGTATTTTCTGAAGACTGTGTGGCTATTAATTTATGAAAACAGCAATTTATTTATGACAAATTAATTGGTATTTTATGCATAAAACTTTATATTAAATGTAAATTACTTATTTGTAACTCTTAATTTAAAGTAACAGCCCATACTATAATAAACATATGTGTTTTAGGGAGGATAACATTTAACACTTTGTTGCTGGTGTTCACGTGAATATGATTTTTTTCTGGCAATGAAACAAACAATAAAACAGCAGCATTTCTTGTTGGTCTTTTTGGGATAAAAGCAAAACTTTTATAATGGACATGCATAAGAAGTTTTTTGAAAGAGACTACACATGGAATGGCCTGTAATTTTTTGATATTTAATATCATCAATCTTTCTTACAGGGGTTCAATTCATTAAAAAAAAAAAAACAACTAGTATCGTTATCTCTGCCCTAACTACTTCCAGTTTCATTTTAATGAAGATAAAAACATTTTTATGCATTGTAAATTTTAACACTTTACATCTATAGGATTGTCTTATATGATAAGTCTTGAGTTACTATGGGCTTGAACATTTCAGAAACAGGAACACTTGCCATTATAAGGAAAATATATTTTGATAGTATATTATTATAAAGAGCTATGCACTTAAAGTAGGCTGACCTATTGATCAAAACACACTTAATATAAGCCAAATACAGTTAAGTTGCTAGGCTCTGAAAGAGTGACAGATGACAAAGAAGGGAAATGAACCTACAAAGTGCTTAAAATGCTGTGACCACATGACTCATTTTCTGCGACTAAGAGACTTAATTTTTATATCCATTCTAAGCTGTACAGCATGGTGCTTAAGAATACAGGCTTTGGTCCAAAAATTCAAGTTCAAATTTCAACTGTGTTTCTAACTAGCCATGAAAATTAGAAAAATTAGTCCCAGTTTCCTTATCTTAAAGGGGGTATCATAGCAGTAGCTACTTGAATATATGGTCAAAACATTTAGAGGTTATTTGGTATGTAGAAAACACCCAGAAAGTTAACTGTTTTTCCTTTTCAGCTTATCATATGGTTTTCAAAAATTAAATTTCATTTCTACTCCCACAGAATTCTTTAGGTTGAGTGGGAAATTTTACATATAAAGAAACTTAGGCTTTGAAAAGTAAAGGAAATTATGACCTCCCTAGTCCAAGTTAACCTCATCTTTAGCCTGAATTATTACAATAGCTTTTTACTATTTTTTCTGCTTCTGCATTTGTCTCTCTGTTACATAAACAAATCATGCAATCCCACTGCTCAAAAACATACAAAGGCTTATTATCTCACATAGAGTAAAAGCTTAAGTTTTATATGTTCTAACCCCAACCTCTATTTACTCTCTGTCCTTATCCCCTATTACTTACTTTCTTGCTTATTTTACAACAGCCACATTGTTTCACTTTGCTATTGATTGAACATGCCGGAAATGCTCCTACCCTATGACCTTTCCTCTAAATGTTTCATTGTGGTTTATATGGAAATATGATCCCTGGGATAAGGAGTATAAGAAAAAAATGCAGTGAAATATGAAAAGAGAGAAAGACAATGGAAGAATGTTTCTTCAGATTTGCTGTGTGGTAGTCACTCCATAGAGATAGGATGGACCCTCACCCAATATTTGCTTTGGATGTTGAGACTGATGACACCACCAAAACAATATAAAAAGTTGTATTACTCACATAATGAGGCTTTCTGGGGACATCAGGGAAAAATCTCAAGTAGGTCCAAAAGTGGCTGAGAAAGAAGATTGGCTTGGAGTCCTTATGGTGGTTAGGGGATGTGAGTCAGAGGAGCATTCCCATATGTGGACCAGAGCTTCCACAATTTGAACTTTCTGCCAGAGAAAAAGGAGGAAGACCTAAGCTTTCTTACTGCTTAACTAGATGTGGATCAGAAAGGGAAAAAGAAGAAATTAGGCTTAAAAACTGACCAATATCCAAAAATGGAGTTAAACTCTTTATCATATGCTACCACTATGAAAAACTGGTGCTTGATTCTGCTAGAACTTTCTGATGAGCCATAGAAAATAAACAGAAAGAGTATTTATTCATCAATTCATCAGGTTCTGTTCCATATTATAAAATGTGGACCACAGAAATTAAGTCCCCTTCCCTACTGTGTGCCTATACATGTGTGCATATGGGAAGGTTTTTAAGTAAAGTCTCAGAGCAGCAAGCATGAAGGATACATCTGAGGGTTGAAGCAGAATGCTCTTTCCTGGCACCTGTGCAAAGCAAGTCAAAGCCCTCATAAAAATGTTTGCTGAATTACTGGCTGTTCTAAGAAGGGGGAGGCACTGATGGGATTTAGAAGTAGTGGATAAGAAGTGTCTAGTAAATAATGTTTATCATTTATTGTCTGTTCCTCCCATTAGAATATGTGCTCCAGTGGGGAAGCAATAAGTATCTGGTTTAAAAGAGTACCCCAAGCACCTAAACTACTGTCTGACATATAGTTGGCATGTAATCAACATTTGTTCAGTGAATGAATCTAGAATCCAAAAGCAGAAACAATAACCCGGGCATCATTATCTCCAGCCTAGTCCTAGTTCTATAGACAGCAGACTATCAAATTTATAGTAAGCATTTTCAACTGGAACAGACAATATGTTAACCAACTGAATGATAGTAGACACTTAAGTGTGTGAATTAATTAATTTCCAAGTATCTGCTAATTGTTAGACACTGAAAATATTTCAGATCTGAAAATATAAGACATTAAAGTTGTTCTACTCATAATTTGTAAAGGAATTTTTTGCTGGTTTTTTACATGACAAAAGAAGAATTATAGTTAACTATTGATTAGACATGTGGATGATCTACTTTGGAGTTTATTTGCAACCCAAAACTAATGTTTCTTTTTTTTTTCTTTTTTTTTTTTTGAGACGGACTCTCACTCTGTTGCCCAGGCTAGAGTGCAGTGACGCGATCTCAGCTCACTGCAACCTCCGCCTCCTGGGTTCAAGTAATTCTCCTGCCTCAGCCTCCGGAGTAGCTGGGATTACAGTTATGCGCCACCACGCCCAGCTAATTTTTGTATTTTTAGTAGAAACGGGGTTTCACTATGTTGGCCAGACTGGTCTCTAACTCCTGACTTCAGGTGACCCGCCTGCCTTGGCCTTCCAAAGTGCTGAAATTGCAGGCGTGAGCCACAGCACCCGGCACAAAACTAATGTTTCTTAGTCTCCTTCTTCCTAGATTCTGGCTTTTATTATTGGATTCTAAAGAAGCAGAGATTAATTTGAAAACTATCATATTTTCATGTTAATAAATCATATAATTCTATTGAAGAAAATTATGAAAGTACAGATAAGGAAAAACAATTCTTCTCATCTAGTCATAATAACATACTCACAATTACAATTTTGCTATTTTTTCAGTATGAATAATTAAATTTTTTCTGTTATTTAGCAAGTCTGTGTCCAAAAAATTAATCTAGAGCATCTGAAAGCCTACCATATGGACACATTTCTGCTTCTTTACATTGAACAGAGCAATTAAAACTGAGCTTTGTAACAAATAGAGTTAATTACTTTTTACACTTTAAATACAGGTTTACTGAGGTGTATCTGACATATAGTAAACTGTATTTATTAAAAATTTGTGATTTGATAAGTTTTGGCATATTTATGCCTCCATAAAATAATCACCAAAATATAGGGAATATATCCAGCATCCAGAGGTTCTTCATGCCTCTTTGTAACAATTCTCTCCTACTCTTCTTAACACCTTATTTTAAATAGATGAATAATAATATATGTACTTTTTGTTTTCTGACATCTTTCACTCAACATAATTATTTGTAAATTTAGATGCGTTGAGTACATCAGTAGTTTATTCATTTTCATTGATGAATAAGCAACATTCTACTGTATGGCTATATTACAATTTATGTATCCATTCAAATGTTGATAGACATTTGGGTCATTTTAGAATTTTGGCTCTTACATATAAAGTTGCAGTGACCATTTGTGTACAAGTCTTTGCATAGATAGATGGTTTTATTTCTCTTGAGTAAATGTTTATGAGTAGAATGGCTGTGTCCTATGGTAGGTGTATGTTTTTAACTTTTTAGAAACAAGCTAATTAAACTAACTTATCAGTTAATTAGTTAACTAATAGTTAACTTAGTTAATTAAACTAATTTCCAAGTAATAGTTTACTTAGTTAACTAAACTAATTTCCAACATGGTTGTACTGTTTTACAATAGGACCAGCAGTGATTGAGAGGTCCAGGTCTTCTACACTCTTGCCAGCACTTATTATGGTTAGCTTTGTATATTTTAACAATCTTTTTTGCTAAAATAACCATGTAAATATTTAGCTTATTTTATTAACTATTTTTAAATTTCGTTTTTAGAGTTATTTATGTATTCCCCACATCAGCCCTTTATCATATATATGGATACTCTATCTCCCCCTCTTCACACACACATGCACACAAGCCTACAAGCATTGTGTTTGACATTGCGTTGAATGAATAGATCAATTTAGTCAGAATTGACATCTTAATTAATTGTATTGAGTTTTCTGACCAACGAACATGTTATCTTATTGATTAAATGCTAACTTAACATGCCAGACAGTATTTTAGGTGCTTGGGGTACACCTTTAAACCAGACACTTACTGCTTCCCTACTGGAGCACACATTCTAATAGGAGAAACAGACAATAATTGATAAACATTATTTACTAGTACTACTTATCTATCACTTCTAAATCTTTTTCAGACTTGCTAAATAACAGAAAAAAAACATTGTCAATTTATCCTATAAATTTACCTCCAGATTATGCTTTAGCAGCAGCCCAGAATATTTAAAATGTTGTGTTTTCAATTACATTTAGTTTAAAACATTTTAAAATTTCTTTCAAAATTTCTTCTTTGATCTGTGAGCTATTTAAGTGTTTATTATATTTTTTAATATCTGGAGAGTTTCCCTATAATTATCCTGTTTCTGATGTCGAATTTAACTATGTTTTGGTCTGAAAAATAACTTTGTATGACTTAAAACTTTTAAATCTCTTTAGATTTGTGTTGTGCCTCAGCATATAAACTATCTTGGTAAACGTTTCATATTCACTTGGAAAAAAAATTATATCCTGCTAGTTCTGTATGGAGTGATGTATAATATAAATAAGCTCAGTTTGGTTGTAGTGTTATTCAAGTTTATTGTATCGTTGCTGATTTTCTATACAAATGTTTTATCAATTATTGAAAGACAGCTATTGAAATATTTGACTATAATTATGGGTTTGTCTATTTCTCCTTGCAGTTCTATCCATTTTTTGCTTTTTAATTTACCTTGAAGCTCTGTTATGAGGTGCATTAATGTGCAGATTATCAAGCCTTCTTGATTAAGTTAACTCTTCATCATTATGAAATGACTTATCCCTAATAATACTGGTTATTTTTTTATTAAATTCTACTTTATCTGGTATTAAAGTATAACTACACTTTTACCTTGTCTAGGTAGTGTCGGTATGGTGTATCTTTTCTCATCCTTTTAACCTACTTGTGTCTTTATCTCTAAAGTAGTTCTCTTATAGGTAGTATACAATTGGGTCATATTTTTCAATTCAATCTGAGAATCTCCATCTTTGAATTGGGATGTATAGACCATTTACTTTTAGTTTTGTTGGTGACATATTTAAGTTTATCATCTCAACATTTGTTTCTATTTGTTTCTTTTGTTCTTTGTTTTTTTTCCCCATTTTTTACTGCCTCATTTGGAATTTGTTATATTTGTCAACGATATTTTATCTTTGTAGCAGAATTTTTGGCTATATTTTTTTGTTGTGTTCTGTTCTTGTAATGATTGCTTTTATGTTTATAGTATACACCTTTAATTTATCGCAGTCTACTTTCAAGTTATATTATCCAATTTAAACTGAGTTACAAATAATTTACAATAGTTAACTTTCATGTTACTTCTCCTGGATTTTGTGTTACTGCCATCATATAATTAATTTCTGCATATATTCTTAATCACACAATTCTTTGTTAGTGTTTTTGCTTTAAACAGTTTATTTTTAAAATAAGCTAAAATAATATAAACATTATTTAATATTCACCTGTAGAGTTACCAGTTCTATTGCTCTCTATTTTGTTAGTGTAGACAAGCTTTCATTTAGTATTATTTTCTTTTACCTTAAATACTTCTTTTATCATTTCTTGTAGGGCAGGTATTCCTGTAATAAATTCTTTCAGCTGCTGGTACCTGAAAAAGATTTTATTTCACTGCCATATCTTAAAAGCCATTTGCATTGCCTGTAGAATTTTATGTTGATAGCATACTTTCAATACTTTAAATTGTTTGCTTCAATATCTTTGCACTGGTAGTTTTTCTGTTAAGAGATATCTTGTCAGATTTTCTCTGATTCTCTGTACATACTCTGTCTTTTCCCACTGGTTGTTGTTCAGATAGATATAGTTTTTATTCATTTTTTTGAGAAAATTGTTTATGATGTGATTTTTATGTAGTTTTCTACATATTTGTTGTGCTTAGAGTTAATTCAGCTTATAGATTTCATCAAATTTAGAAAATTTTATTTCTTTTTAAAACCTTATTCCATATTTCTTCAAATATTTTTCTGATCTCCTTTCTCATGTTCTTCAGGCTCCTTGAATTGTCTCACAACTTATTGATGCATTTTTCATTTTTAAAAATTATCTTTCTTCTTGTGTTTAATTTTGGAGAGGTTTTATTGCTATGCTTTTACATTAAGTAATCTTTTCTGTGTTTACTAATCTACCATTTCTCTCATCTAGTGTATTTTTCATCACAGATATTGCAGTTGTAATCTCTAGAAGATAAATTTGAGACTTCCTTTCTTAATGTCTTCCATGTCTCTGCCTAAATTTTTAAATATATGGAATATAGTTATAATAACTCTTTTAATATCTTTTTTTCTGTTAATTTTGTCATCTGGGTCCATTCTGAGACTTCCTTGATTTATTTTTCTTTTCATTATGGGTAATATTTTTTGCTTCCTTGCCTGCCTGAATATTTTTTATTGTATGCAAGGTATTATTTCACCTGGTTAAATGCTAGATACTTTGTATTTCTATAACTATTCACAAATTTATATACTTTGTTCTGGGACACAGTTAATTTACTGAAAAAGTTCATCCCTTCCAGTTTTGTTTATAACAGATTTTTAGGAAGGACCAGAGAACCATTTGTTCTACAAATATTATTTTCCCATACTGAGGCATAAGTTTAATTTACCCAATGGCCCATAGAATCTGAATCGTTTTACATACCTGTAGGACAATATCAAAATATGAAATTGACCATGTACAATGCACATATATAGATTTTGCCATGTCACTACACATGTAAGTTTGTGTCACCACCACTGAAATCAAGATGTAGACCCATTCCACTACCACAAAAATCTCTCTGATGCTAATCTTTTGTAGTCACACATATCTCTTCTCCTGTCCAGCTGTAACTTTTTACGACCACAACTTTTTTTAATCTTATGATGTTTGCCATTTCCACTATGTTATATAAATGAAAGCATGCATTATGTAACATTTTGAGATTGGCTTTTTTTTTTTTTTACCTTTGCAATCCACCCAAGTTGTTTTATGTACAAATAATTATTTCCTCTTTATTTCTTGGTAGTATTGCATAGAACAGATATATCAGTGGGTTTAACCATATACACGTTGAAGGATATGGAAATTTCTTTCAAATTTTGGCTATTATGAATAATGCTGCTACAAATATGTGTCTACAGACTTTGTGTAAACACATGTTTTAATTTCTGTAGTTTAAATGATCAAAAGTTTGATTGCTGTGTTATTTGGTAAGTGCATGTTTAGTTTTGTAAGAAAATGCCAAACTATTTTACAGATGATATGATATCCTGTTTCAGAGTGAACTTGTACTTAACTTTAACAAAAAAACTTTGTAAGTCTTATTAATTTCTCTATTGATTTTGGATGGTTTATATTCCTATATCTTTAAGGTCACAAATCTAGTCTTATGCAAAGTCTAGTCTGCTATTATGTATTTTTATATAGACATTGCAATTTCCATCTCTGGAAGATTGATTGGTTATTGTTTATATTTTTCACGTCTCTAAGCTTTTGAGCACACATAATACAATTACAACTGTTTTAATGTCTTTGTGAGTTATTTCTAGTACCCATGGAAGTTTTGGGTCCTCTTTAATACACTGATATTTTTGCTCATTGTATATGATATTTTCTTACATCTTTCTGTGCCTGTTACTTTATTAGGAGGGCAGTTGCTTATTTACTTATTTATTTATTTAAATTGTACAATCCACGTGACATAAGATTGATAATATGAGCCAATTTAAAGTGCAAAATTCAGTGGCAATAAGCATACTTACATTGTTGTACTACAATCACCACAATCTATCCAGAAACTCTTTTTATATTGCGAAACTAAAACTCCATTATCTCCTACACATTTCTTGTCAACCACCATTTTACTTTTTGTCTCTATGAATGCGACTACTCTAAATGCCTCATATAATTTTAATCATAAAATATTTGCTTTTTTGTGACTGGCTTATTTCACTTAGCTTGTCTTTGAGGTTTATATATTTTGTTGAATGTGTCAGAATTTCTTATTTTAAAATTCTGGTAAAATACATATAACAATAAAATTGCCATCTTAACTTTTTTAAAGTGTACAATTCAGTAGCGTTAAGTACATTCACGTTGTTGTGCAACTGATCTCTAGATCTCTTTATATTGTAAAACTAAAAATCTATACCCATTTAACAACTCCCTCTTCTCTTCTACTTCCAGCTGCTTGTAATCACCCTTCTATTTTCTGTATAAATTTAACTATTTTTTTTAATTTCCATAGGTTTTTGGGGAACAGATAGTATTTGGTTACACAAATACTTTTTTTGTAGTGATTTGTGAGATTTCAGTGCGCCCATCACCCAAGCAGTATACACTGAACCTGATTTGTACTCATTTGTTCCTCATCCCCTTCGCACCCTTTTCCCCTGAGCCTCCAAAATCCATTGTGTCACTTTTATGCCTGTGGATCCTCAAAGTTTAGCTCCCACTTGTGAGTGAGAACATACAATGTTTGATTTTCCATTCCTGAATTACTTCACTTAGAATGATAGACTCCAATCCCATTCAGGTTTCTGTGAATGCCAACAACTCATTCCTTTTTATGCCTGAGTAGTATTCCATCATATATATGTAGCACAGTTTCTTTATCTACTTGTTGATTGATAGGCATTTGGGTTGGTTCCACATTTTTTGCAGTTGCAAATTGTGCTGCCATAAGCATGTGTGTGTTAAGTATCTTTTTCGTAATAACTTATTTTCCTCTGGGCAGATACCCAGTAGTGGGATTGCTGGATCAAATGGTAGTTCTATTTTTAGTTCTGTAAGGAATCTCCACACTGTTTTCCATAGTGATTGTACTAGTTTACTTTCCCACCAGCAGTGTAGAAGTGCCCCTGCTCACTGCATGTATGACAACATCTATTATTTTTTTATTATGGCCATTCTTGCAGGAATAAAGTGGTATTTCACTGTTGTTTTGATGTACATTTCCCTGCTTATTAATGATGTTGAGCATTTTTCATGAATTTTGGCCATTTGTATATCTTCTTTTGAGAACACCCTATTCAACAAATGGTGGTGGGACAATTGGCAATTCACATGTAGGAGAATGAAACTGGATCCTCATCTCTCACCTTATACAAAAATTCAACTCAAGATGGATCATGGACTTAAATCTAAGACCGGAAACTATGAAAATTCTAGAACATTGGAAAAATCTTTCTAGACATTGGCTTACACAAGGATTTCATGACCAAGAACCCAAAAGCAAATGCAATAAAACAAAGATAAATAGCCGGGAATTAATTAAATTAAAGAGTTTTTGCACGGCAAGAGGAACAATCAACAGAGTAAACAGACAACCCACAGAGTGGGAGAATATCTTCACAATCTATGCATCTGACAAATGACTAATATCCAGAATCTACAATGAACTCAAACAAATTAGCAAGAAAAAAAACAAACAATCCCATCAAAAAGTGGGCTAAAGACATGAATAAAAAATTTAACTATTCTACATATTGCTTATAAGTGAAAGTATAAAATATTTGTCCATTTATTGTGTGTATTATTTCACTTAGTTTAATATCCACAATACTTACTATGCTTTAAAATGTGTCAGAATTGCTTTCCTTTTAAGGGTAAATAATATTCCATTGTATGTACATAGCACATTTTGTTTATCCATTTATTCATTAATGGACATTGGGTTGTTTCCACCTTTTGGTCATTGTAAATAATGCTGCTAAGAACATGGGTAGGCAAATAACACTTCAAGCCCCTGCTTTCAAATCTATTCAGTGTGTTCCTAGCAACGTAAATGCTGGATCATATGGTAATTCCATGTTTAATTTTTTGAGGAACCACCATACTGTTTGCCACAGTGGATACATAATTTTATATTCCTACCTGCAGAACAAAAGGGTTTTTTTCCACATTCTTTCAAACACTTTTTATTTTCAGGGTTTTTTAAAATTTTATTTCAATAGTTTTGGGGGTACAAATTGGTTTTTGGTTACATAGATAAGTTCTTTAGTGGTGATTCTGAGATTTTGGTGCACCCATAACCCAAACAATATACACTGTACCCAATACATAGTCTTTTATCCCTCACCACCCTCCCACTCTTCCTTGAGTTGCCAAAGTCCATCATATCGTTCTTATGCCTTCACATCCTCATAGCTTAGCTTCCACTTATAAATGAGAACATACAATATTTGGTTTTCCATTCCTGAGTTATTTCACTTAGAATACTGACCTCCAGCTCCAATGCAAGTTGCTACAAAGGCCATCATTTTGTTCCGTTTTATGGCTGAGTAGTATTCCATAGTGTATATATACCACATCTTCTTTATCTACTTGTTGGTTGATGGGCATTTAGGTTGGTTCCATATTTTTTAAATCTAAGACCTGGAACCATAAGAATTCTAGAAGATAACATCCGAATAACTCTTCTAGACATTAGCTTGGGCAAAGAATTTATGACTAAGAACTCAAAAGCAAATGCAACAAAAATAAAAATACATAAATAGGACCTAATTAAACTAAAAAGTTTCTACACAGCAAAATAGATAATCAGCAGAAATAGCCTGCAGAGTGGGAGAAAATATTTGAAAACTATGCATCTGACAAAGGACTAATATCCAGAATCTGCAAGGAACTCAAACACATCAACAAGAAAAAAAATAATAATGCCATCAAAAAATGGGCGAAGGACATGAAAAGACAATTCTCAAAAGAACATATACAAATAGCCAACAAACATATGAATAAATGCTCAAGATCACAAATAATCAGGAAAATGCAAATTAAAACCTCAATGAAATACCACCTGAGTCCTGCAAGAATGGTCATATTTAAAAAATAAAATGAAAAAATAGATATTTGCTGGATGTGGCAAAAATGGAACAGTTTGAAACTGTTGGTGGGAATGTAATCTAATACAGCTACTATAGAAAACAGTACGGAGATTCCTTAAAGAAATAAGAATAGAACTGTCATTCAATCCAACAATCCCACTACTGGGTATCTACCCAAAGGAAAAGAAATCATTACATGAAAAGGCCACATGCGCATGCATGTTTATAGCAGCACAATTGGCAATTGCAAAAATATGAGACGATGACGATTGTTATTATTTTAACAATAGCCATCCTAAGCAGTGTGAAGTGGTATCTCATGTGGTTTTCACATTCATTTCCCTTATAATTACAGATGTTGAGCATCTTTACATATTTTTATTGGCTATTTGTATATTTCTTTGGAGAAATGTATAATCAAAAATTTTGCTCAATTTTTAAATGGGTTGTTTTTTGCCATTGTTGAGATGTACAAATTATTTTAATATATTCAGAATATATTCTGGATATTAACCCCTTTCAGATATATAACTTGCATATATTTTCTCCATTTTGTGAGTTGCCTTTTACTTTATTGATTGTGTCTTTTGTTGCACAGAAATATTTAGTACTGCTATAATCTAATTTGGCTATTCTTTCTTGTGTTATCTGTGTTTGGGGTGAAATTTCCAAAAATATAATCTCTAAACTCAATGCCATGAAGCTTTCTTCATAAATTTTCTTACAAATTTTAGAAAAAATGTTATAGTTTTTGTACTATAGAAAATTTATAGTTTTTGGTTTTACATTTAGATCTTTAATTCATTTTTACTTAGTTGTTATATATAATGTAAAATACATTTTTTGAATGCATATTCAAAAAATGTATGCAATTATGAAAAATAATAGATGTTGGCCTGGATGTGGTAAAAGTGGAACACTTTTACACTGCTGGTGGGAATGTAATCTAGTATAACAACTATGGAAGACAGTATAGAGATTCCTTACAGAATTAAAAACATACGTGTATGTGTATATGCATGCATATATATATATTTATATATGTATTCATATATATTTATATATATTTATATACATATTTCTATATATTTATATATATTTCTATATATTTATATATGTATTTCTATATATTTATATATGTATTTCTATATATTTATATATTTATATATACATTTATATATTTATATATTATACATACATATTTCTATATATTTCTATATATTTCTATATATTTCTATATATTTATATATTATATATATTCATATGTATTTACATATATATATTTATATATATTTATATATATTTACATATATATATTTATATATATATTTATATATATTTACATATATGTTTATATATATATATTTATAAATATTTGTATATATTTATATATATTTATATATATTTGTATATATTTATATATATTTAGATATATTTATATATATATTTGTATATATTTAGATATATTTATATATATTTGTATATATTTAGATATATATTTATATATATTCATATATATTCATATATATATTTAAATATATCTAGATATATCTAGATATATATTTAGATATATTTAAATATATATATTTATATATATATTTATATATATATTTTTATATATTTTTATATTTTTATATATTTATATATTTAGATATATTTAGACATATTTTATATATATTTATGTATTTATATATATTTATATATTTTTATATATTTATATATATATTTTTATATATTTAGATATATTTATATATATATTTATATATTTATACATATTTACATATATTGATATATATTTATATATATTATTTATATATGTTTATATATATTTATATATATTGTTTATATATATTTATATATTTAGATATATTTAGATATATTTAGATATTTAGATATATTTTTATATATATTTATATATATATTTATTTATATACTTTCCAGGGTTTATATAGTTTATTTCAGAGCTCTCTATTTTATTCCATTGGTCTATAGTTCTGTTTTTATATCATTATCACACTGTTTTCACTGTAGCTTTGTACTAAGTTTTGATATCAGAAAATCCCAACCCAACTTTGTTCTTCTTTTTCAAGTATGCTTATGCTTTTCTGATCCCTGGAGGTTTCCACATAAATTTTAGAATAAACTTTTCTTTTTCTGTAATAAATGCAGTTTAATAATGATTGCACTCAATCTGTAGATTTCTTTGTGGTACTGACATCCAGACATTCTCAAGTATTCAAACGGATGAAAATGGGTTGCCTTTTCATTTATTGATTTCTTGTTTATTTTTTTTCAACAATGTTTCATAATTTTCAGTATATGTCATTCACCCCTTTGGTTAAGTTTATTCTTAAGTGTTTCATTATTTTTTATACTATTGTAAATAGAATTGTTTTCTTAACTTTCAGATTATTCTTTTGTGTATACAAATGCAACTTATTTTGTGTGTTGATATTGTATTCTGAAAATTTGCTGAATTCACTTATTTTGTCTAACATTTTGTGAAATCTGTAGGATTTTCGGACATCAAATCATGATGTTTTTAAGCAGAGATATTCTTACTTCTGCTTTTCTAATTTGCTTTTCTTTTCTTTCTTTTATCTCACCCAATTGTTCTTTCTAGGACTTCCAATACTGTGTTGAATAGAACTACTGAATACAGACATTCTTGTCTTGTTTTTGATCTTATCAGAAAAGCTTTTATTTTTTTCACCACTAAGTATGATGTTAGCTGTGAGCCTTTCATATATGGACTATTATTATGCTGAAAATGTTTCTTCCTATTACTTGCAGCCAAAAGACACATGAAAAAATGCTCATCATCACTGGTCATCAGAGAAATGCAAATCAAAACCACAATGAGATACCATCTCACACCAGTTAGAATGGCAATCATTAAAAAGTCAGGAAACCACAGGTGCTGGAGAGGATGTGGAGAAATAGGAACACTTTGACACTGTTGGTGGGAGTGTGAACTAGTTCAACCATTGTGGAAGTCAGTGTGGCGATTCCTCAGGGATCTAGAACTAGAAATACCATTTGACCCAGCCATCCCATTACTGGGTATATACCCAAAGGACTATAAATCATGCTGCTATAAAGACACATGCACATGTATGTTTATTGTGGCATTATTCACAATAGCAAAGCCTTGGAACCAACCCAAATGTCCAACAAGGATGGACTGGATTAAGAAAATGTGGCACATATACACCATGGAATACTATGCAGCCATAAAAAATGATGAGTTCATGTTCTTTGTAGGGACATGGATGAAATTGGAAATCATCATTCTCAGTAAACTATCACAAGGACAAAAAACCAAACACTGCATGTTCTCGCTCATAGGTGGGAATTGAACAATGAGAACACATGGACACAGGAAGGGGAACATCACACACCGGGGCCTGTTGTGGGGTGGGGGGAGTGGGGAGGGATAGCATTAGGAGATATACCTAATGCTAAATGACGAGTTAATGGGTGCAGCACACCAGCATGGCACATGTATACATATGTAACTAACCTGCACATGGTGCACATGTACTCTAAAACTTAAAGTATAATAATAATAAAAAAAGTGGGTAAAATTTTGTCCAATGCTTTTTATGTATTAATTGAAACTGTCAAGTCTTTTTATCATTTCATCCTGTTAATATGGTATATTACATTGTTTGATTTTTGTTGAAATTTCCATGTGCTCCAAGGATAAATCTTACTTTATCATGGTGTATAGTATGTTAAAAGTGCTGTTAAGATCATTTAGCAAGTATTTTGCTGAATATTTTTGCATCTATAGTCATCAGATACATGATTGTCTAGTTTTCTTGTGTCTTTGTCTGGCTTTGGTATTAAAGTAATGCTGTCTTTGTATAATAAATTTGAGATTGTTACCTCCTCTTCAATTTTTCAAAAGAATTTAAAGAGGATTATTATTAATTATTCTTTCAATGTTTGGTAAAATTCTCCAATGAAGTCATCTAGTCCCAGGCTTTTCTTTGTTGGAAGATTTTTTTTATTATTGATTAATCCCCTTAATAGTTACGCTGAGATTTTCTATTTATTCATGATTCAATCTTGGTTGTGTGTTTCTAGAAATATATTCATTTCGTGTAGGTTATCTAGGTTTTTTGTCATACATATTTTTATAAAGTTTTCTTTTCTTTAGTTTTTTTTCAGACAAGGTCTCACTCTGTTGCCCAAGCGAGGGTGAAATTGCACAGTCATAGCTCACTGAGCCTCCATCTCCTGGGTTTGAGCCATCCACCCACATCAGCCTCCTGAGTAGCTGGGGATACAGGCATTGCACCCCCATGCCCAGCAATTGTTTTATGTTTCATAGAGACAAGGTCTTACCATGTTGCCCAGGCTTATAACAAAATCCTGGACTCAAGCAACCCTCCCACCTCAGCCTACCAAAGTGCTGGGGTTACAGGCATGAACCACTACAAATGTTCGGTTTTTCATATATACTTATAATTATTTTGTTTATGTAAAATATCTAGTAATATTTCTCATTTCATTTCTTACTGTAGTTAATTGAGTCTCTTCTGCCTTTTTCCTTGCTCAGTCTTGTTAATATTCTTTTTCAATTTTGTTGATCTTTTCAAAGAACCAAATCTTACTTTTATTGATCATTTCAATTGTTTGTAATTCTCTATTTATTTATCTCTGCTGTAGTCTTTATTATTTCCTTCATTCTGTTAACTTTAGGTTTAAATTTGTCCTTTTTTCCTATTTTTTAAGGTATAATATTAGGTTGCTGACTTGAAATATATATTTTTCTTGTGTTTACAGCTATAAATTATCTTGTTAGACTGTTTCCACTGCATTCAATATGTTTAAGCATATTCTGTTTGTTTTTTTTTATTTGTCATAAAATATTTTCTTATTTCCCTTGTGTTTTCTTCTTTGGCCAGTTTGTTGCTTAGGGCATTTTTAAAATTTCCATATATTTGTGCATCATACAGTTTTCCTTCTACTACTGATTTCTATTTATATTTCATTGTGTTTGGAAAATATACTTTGTATGATTTTAACCTTTTTAAATTCATTAAGTATTGTTTTGTAGTGTAACATATAGTCTATCCTGTAGGATGTTCCATGTGCACTTGAGGAAAATGTGCAATCTATTATTCTTGGGTGGAATGTTCTAAAAATGGCATTTAGATCCAATTGGTTTATAGTGTTGGTCAAGTCCTCTATTTCCTAATTCAGCTTGTCTCTGGTTGTTCTATTTATTATTTAATGTGTGGTACTGAAATCTCCTATTATTATTGTAGATCTGTGTATTTGTTCCTTCAATTCCTTTAATATTTGGTTCATATATTCCGGAATCCTAATGTGTGGCACATATGTTTTTATAATTGTTATATCTTTTTGGTAAATTGACATTTTCATCATTTTTAATGTCCATTTTTGTGTTTTGTTACAGTTTTTGACTTAAAGTTTAGTTTGCCCAATATTAGTATCTCCACCCCTGCTCTCTTTTGAACGCTATATGTATAAACTTTTTTATTCTTTCTAATTTAACCTATGCATGCCCTTACATGTAAAGTGTCATGTAGACAACATATACTTGGATTTCTTAATTCATTCAGGTTGCATCAATTTACATGTAAGGTAATTATTGATAGAGAGGGACTTACTATTGCCATTTTGTTATTTGTTTTCTATACATTTTATAGCTATTTTTGTTTCTCATATTCTGCCTTATTGCCTATGTTTGTATTTAGTGGATTGTTTTGTAGTGACACACTTAGATTCTCCTTTAATTGCCTTTTGCAAATATTCTACAGATATTTTCTTTGTAGATTACATGGGGATTACATATAACAGGTTAACATTCTAACAATCTATTGTAAACTGATAACAATTTAATTTGACTTGTATTCAAAAACTCTACTTCTTTACGGCTTCACCTCTTCTGTGTTATGTTACTTTTGTCTCATATTACATCTTTATGAAGTATATACACATTAATAGAGATTTGTAACTATTTTAAGCTTTTGTCTTAAAGTGCTTTAAAAGTATAAAAAGTAGAGTTATGAACCAAAATTACCATAATGCTATTTTTTTAATTTTATCTTGGAACACTATATTTTAATGTGGCTCTATGTGACTACTTATCACCCTTTCATTTCAACTTGAAAATCTCCCTTTAACATTTCTTTTATGTCAAGTCTAATGGTAATGATCTTCTTCAGCTTTTATTTATCTGAGAATATCTTAATTTCTTCCTTGTTTTTGGAATGATAGCTTTGCTGAATATAGATCTTATAGATAACAAGTTTTTTTCAGCTCTTAGAATCTCTCATCTTACTGCTATTTGGACTGCAAGTTTTCTGCTTATAGATCCACTAATAATCTCATAGAGACTTACTTCTTATAATCAGTACCTTATCTCTTGTCCTTTTCAGAATTGTTTCTTTGACTTTTGGCAATTTGATTATAATGTGTTTCAATGCTGGTCTCTGGTTTTAGCCCACTCGGAGTTCATTGAGATTCTTAGATATTTATATCCATCCCATTCTCACAATTTGAAAAGTTTTTGGTTATTATTTTTCCAAATAATGCTCTGCCGTTTACTTCTATCTTCTTTTTCTGGAATTTTTATAATATTTATATTGTTTGCTTGATGGTCTCCCATATGTCCCTTAGGCTTTGTTCAAACTTAATTTTTTTTCTTTTCCTCTTCAGATTAGATATTTATAAATGACCCGTTTTCAGGTTTGCTGATCATATCTTTTGCCTTTTCAAGTCTGCTTTTGAATCCCTCTGTAGAATGTTTAAATTTAGTTGTTGTGTTTTTCAACTCCAGAATTTTGACTTTCTTCCCATTAATACTTTTTATTTGTCAGTAATCTCATTCTCTTTATACATTGTTTTTCTGATTTTTTATATTTCTTTATCTATGTTTTCCCTTAGCTCTTTATGCAAATTAATTTAATTTAATTTTTATTTTTGATACAGGGTTTCACTTTTTCAGCCAGGCTGGAGTGCAGTGGCTCAATTTCAGCTCACTGCAGCCTTGACCTCCTGCACTCAAGAAATCCTCCCACCTAAGCCCCCCAAGTAGCTTGGGCTACAGGTGCATGCCACCATTCCTGGCTGATATTTTGGTATTTTGTAGAGACAGGGTTTTGCCATGTTGCTGAGGCTGCTCTCAAATTCTGAGCTCAAGCAGGCTGCTTGCCTTAGCCTCCCAAAGTGCCAGGTGGTGTGAGCTACTGCGCTTGGCCCCTTTGAGCAAATTTAAAATAGTTCTTTTAAAGTCCTAGTGATGTCTGTGTTTCTTCATGAGTGGTATTTGTAACTATACTTTTTCCTTTGGCATGGGCTCTGTTTTCTAGTTTAAACATGGCTATGTTTTGTTGAAAATTAGACATTAAAAATATCGACTTCTCCCAGCCTTTGTGCAGGAGAAGACCTTCAGTAATCAGCCTTACTTGACAGTTTAAGGTCTTTTCAGGACTTTTCTAGGCATGCATTTTCCTTCAGCCTGTTCATGTGTTTTTCTCCCAATTCTCCTGTACACGTGGTTGCTTTTAAATGTCAATTTTTTAAAGAGTCTACCCCCTGCTTATTCTCAGGGCTATAGATGTTCTGTTGTCCCTGTGCTTATAATCTCTTACCCCCAGACACATAAAGGACTGTAGTCTCCCTGCAGTTTTCATATTCCTCTGTACCCACTCCTGCCTTTAGCATCCTCCATCCTAATACCCAAAGCATATCCTTGTTGCTTTCACTGCTGCAAGTCTTTTGAGACAGAATCTCAGGTAACCCCCAGACAAGCTAGCACATTGCAAGAAAGTTCTTTTTTTTTTTTTTTGCATTCCAGCCTGAGAAAAGGATGAGGAATTTGACAACCTTATCTTGTCCATGCCACACTATGCTCAGGAGTTGCCCACTTGGTATTTCTATGGGGAAATAAGGGTTTAGAGCTTCCTAATCAGCCATCTTTCTCAGCTTATACCTTTTCATTGGCTGTCAGATATTGTAATTTTTACATTTTTGGTTTTCCAATATTTTGTATTCCTGTAAATATTAAGCTTTAGTCAGAAATGCAGTTAAATTACTTGTAAACTGTTTGATTATTTTAGGTCTTGTTTTTTAAAAAATATGTTATGCATAACCACAGTCATGTTTAGATAGTGCTAATTGTTTTCCACTACGTAGAAAAGATCCTCCTGAATACCCTGTCTCATGCTTCAAGAATGGTGAGATATTTCACTCTGGTTGGTGATCAATAGGTACTATTTCTCATCCTGTTGCAATGCCAGGCATTGTTACATTTAATACTTTCAGACAGTTCTTTATCCAGCCTCGGTTTCAACACACTCGTGTGTTGAATTGTACTGTGCTCTATACTCAAGCTTGACCCTTTGCAGATCTCCTGAGTTTTGTTATTTTTGCGGTTCTCTTCTCTCCAGTACTCCTTTTTGTGAATTGTCCTAACTTCAGTCTTACCTGACTCTCAGCTCTATATCTTTAACCCAGGGAGTCTGCCAGGCTCCTCTTCACTTCTGCCTCCTAAATCATGGCCTAGAAACTCTCTCAAGGCAATAAACTTGGGGCAGTTTTAAGATTAACTTCATTTGTTTCCTGCTTCTCAGGGATCACTGTTTTTTGTTGCTGGATGCCAAGAATCTTGATAAGCATTATTTCACATATTTTTGTCTTTCTTCATTTGTTTCTGATAGGAGGGTAAATGTGATGCCCAGTACTAAATCTTGGCCAGAAGCAGTTTTCATTTACTTAATCTTAGAAGGCACATCTTAAAGTGTATATTTACAGAAAGACATAAATAGATCAGCCATGATGGTTGCTGAGAACTTACCAAGTGCTCATTTATATGTTAAGTTTCATTAGAAATGTGGTGGTGGAAAGACAAAAGATGTGCTATAAACTTCATGCTTTTAATG
Organism: Homo sapiens; assembly: GCF_000001405.40. Classification (NCBI taxonomy): domain Eukaryota; kingdom Metazoa; phylum Chordata; class Mammalia; order Primates; family Hominidae; genus Homo; species Homo sapiens. The sequence goes on from NC_000023.11 coordinate 81,681,164, forward strand.
AACTATCTATATGTTAGGAAGTAACAGATAAAATCTTTAATGAATAAAAGCTCATTTATATCAGGTTGTAAATAAATTGTGTGATGTCTAAATGCTATAGAAATTGAGAGGTAAGTAAGATTGATTTGGGCTACTGTGGTGAGGGAATAATTTCAAAGGATAGACAGATCCTGGTTAAAATATAGGTATCAATATTTTTTGTGTTATCTTGGGCATAATATTTAACATTTTTGTGTTTTACTTTCCTAATCTTTAAAACAGGATAACACTTAAAGCTATCTCACAAGTATATTTTAATGATTAAATGAGATGACATTTGTAAAAAAGACCTTACATATCATAGATATTTATTAAGCTTAATATTTTCTTTAGTCATGAATACAAAATATTAAATCCATTAGTCCTTGAATCTTCTTCAGCAAGAGTTTAATTTGGAATTTTCTTATAATATAGCAACTGATTCTATTAATGCTCCAATATTCTCAAATTTAGTTATGCTATTCAGTTTGATGAAGAGTGTTCTGATTAATCTGTGCAAATTTTGTTACTTAATTCCCTTTATAAAATATATTAGGGGGCTCTAAATATCTTGTTTAGTGAAGTGGTATGGATTATCATTTAAATTTTTTTATTACAGTTTAAGTTTTAATTATCCTCCTTTTAGATTTAAATTTATTATGATTTTCCTTTGGTATGTCAATATTGTCCTGGCTTCCTAGATAGGCAGGTTTATCAGTGTAACTACAAGATGTTAGCAGACCCATCTTAGAGTTCTTGTTTCTTTCTTAAGCCCTTTGCTCTGGAGGAAGTTCTCCAGCTTCAGCTCAACTCACAGCTTCTCCAAGCATCACCCTGGGAGTGTCCTGAGAGTTTTCTCATAAATGAGGGCTGCACGTTGCCTGTTCTGCTTCAAAGTATTTAATACGGCTCAGTATTTTAAATGAAGTGATTCTAACTTGTGATTTCGTTTGGGATCAATAGGAAAGCATATGCAGCCAACCAAGATGCAAATGTTTTGAAATGATATGACTAAAATTTTAAGTAGGAAAGTCACCCAAACACTTCTGCTTTCACTTAAGTGTCTGGCCCGCAATACTGTAGGAACAAGCATGACCTTGTTACTGTGAGATTTAAAATATCCACAGTATTCACTTTTTCCAAATGATCCTAGTAATTGCCTAGAAATATCTTTCTCTTACCTGTTATTTATCAATTTTTCCCAATATTTTTATACGGAAAAAATTGTATTGAGAACACTTAGTATGCAGTTGATAAGAGGAATTTGGTATAATTATGGTGGGTGATTATTTTTTATACTGTATGTGCCAAAGCTTTACTACTGTGGAAAGACAGCTGTTTTAATAAAAGATTTACATTCCACAAAAGAAAAGAATGCAACAGAATTTCCCGCTTTACTAACAGCTCTCTTACATGTTTACTGCTAATGTCTTATTTAATATACAGTGCTGCTCTTGACCAAAGAAAAGTCTGAATGACGCCAATCTAGATTCTACATTTACTTGAAGTCTCATATCTCCCCAAATACTTGGCTCAAATTCAGCTGCCTCTTATCTTTATTTGATATCTCCACCAAATCAATTAGTACTTGATCAACTATTTTCTGACAGATTGTATTTTAATGAATGTAAATCCTATCTCTTCATAAAGTGTGAGTTCCCTTCCTTTTTTCCTTCATGGCACATTTGTTTCAAATGCAGGTTGTGGAGATGAAGAAAAGAGTTTTCTGTCTCACATGGCATCAAACAAATAAAATACTTTAAACACACACAGACACACATATGTGTGTGTATATGTATATATCACTATATACATGTACGTATATATATCACTATATACATGTACGTATATATCACTATATACATGTACGTATATATCACTATATACATGTACGTATATATCACTATATACATGTACGTATATATCACTATATACATGTACGTATATATCACTATATACATGTACGTATATATCACTATATACATGTACGTATATATCACTATATACATGTACGTATATATCACTATATACATGTACGTATATATCACTATATACATGTATGTATATATAGGACAGTGATTCTATTGGGGGCAATTGTAATATTAACTTCATGTGTTTCCTGTTTCTCAGGGATCACTGTCCAGCAACAACATTAAATATATATATATATATATATATATATATGCATATGTGTACATGTATATGTATGTGTGTGTATATGTACATCTATGTGTACATATCTACACATATTGATATGTTTTGCCTCTGTGTCCCCACCCAAACCTTATCTTGTAGCTCCCATAACTCCCACATGTTGTGAGAGGGACCCAGTGGGACATGATTGAATCATGGGGTGAGTGTTTCCCAGGCTGTTCTCATGATAGTGAATGGGTCTCATGAGATCCAATGGATTTAAAAACAGGAGTTTCTCTGCACAAGTTCTCTCTTGGCCCACTGCCATCCATATAAGACGTGACCTGTTCTTCCTTGCCTTTCACCATGATTGTGAGGCTTCCCCAACCATGTGGAACTGTAAGTCCAATTAAACCTCTTTCTTTTGTAAATTGCCCAGTCTTGGGTATGTCTTTATCAGCAGCACAAAAACATACCCATATGCATAAATATATTTGATGTTTCTTCCCAGCACTGGCAAGACAATGATGTATGGAATTTGCTACTTTCATTCAATAAAATAGTTTACCTTAATGATTTTTTTAACTCGAAAACTATAAAGTTATTTTAAAAATTTCAGTCACTGGGGGGGCGGTTCCAAGATGGCCGAATAAGAACAACTCCAGTCTACAGCTCCCAGCATGAGCAATGCAGAAGATGGGTGATTTCTGCATTTCCAACTGAGGTATTGGGTTCATCTCACTGGGACTTGTTGGACAGTGGGTGCAGGACTGTGGGTGCAGTCCACCGAGCAAGAGCCGAAGCAGAGCAAGGCATTACCTCACCCGGGAAGTGCAAGGGGTCAGGGAATTCCCATTCCCAGCCAAAGAAAGCTATGACAGATGGCACCTGGAAAATTGGGTCACTCCCAACCTAATACTGAGCTTTTCCAAGGGTCTTAGCAAACGGCACACCAGGAGATTATATCCCGCACCTGGCTCAGAGGGTCCCATGCCCACGGAGCATCGCTCATTGCTAGCACAGCAGTCTGAGATCAAACTGCAATGCAGCAGCGAGGCTGGGGGAGGGGCGCCTGCCATTGCCGAGGCTTGAGTAGGTAAACAAAGCAGCCAGGAAGCTAGAAATGGGTGGAGCCCACCACAGCTCAAGGAGGTCTGCCTGCCTCTGTAGACTCCACCTCTGGGGGCAGGGCATAGCCAAACAAAAGGCAGCAGAAACCTCTGCAAACTTAAATGTCCCTGTCTGACAGCTTGGAAGAGAGTAGTGGTCCCCCAGCATGGAGTTTGAGATCTGAGAACAGACAGACTGCCTCCTCAAGTGGGTCCCTGACCCCTGAGTAGCCTAACTGTGAGGCACCCCTCAGTAGGGGCAGACAGAAACCTCACATGGCCAGGTGCCCATCTGAGAAGAAGCTTCCAGAGGAATGATCAGGCAGAAACATTTGCTGTTCAGCAATATTTGCTGTTCTGCAGCCTCTGCTGCTGATACCCAGGAAAACAAGATCTGGAGTGGACCTCCAGCAAACTCCAACAGACCTGCAGTTGAGAGTCCTGACTGTTAGAAGGAAAACTAACAAACAGAAAGGACATCCACACCAAAACACCATCTGTACGTCACCATCATCAAAGACGAAAGGTAGATAAAACCACAAAGATGGGGAAAAAACAGAGCAGAAAAGCTGAAAATTCTAAAAATCAGAGCGCCTCTCCCCCTCCAAAGGAACACAGCTCCTTACCAGCAATGGAACAAAACTGGATGGAGAATGACTTTGACGAGTTGACAGAAGAAGGCTTCAGACGATCAAACTATTCTGACCTAAAGGAGGAAGTTCGAACCCATCGCAAAGAAGATAAAAGCTTTGAAAAAAGATTAGATGAATGGCTAACTAGAAGAACCAGTGTAGAGAAGTCCTTAAATGACTTGATGGAGCTGAAAACCATGGCATGAGAACTATGTGACACATGCACAAGCTTCAATAGCCAATTCAATCAACAGGAAGAAAGGGTAACAGTGATTGAAGATCAAATGAATGAAATGAAGCGAGAAGAGAAGTTTAGAGAAAAAAGAGTAAAAAGAAATGAAGAAAGCCTCCAAGAAATATGGGACTATGTGAAAAGACCAAATCTACATCTGATTGGTGTACCTGAAAGTGACAGGGAGGATGGAACAAAGTTGGAAAACACTCTGCAGGATATTGTCCAGGAGAACTTCCCCAACATAGCAAGGCAGGCCACATTCAAATTCAGGAAATACAGAGAATGCCACAAAGATATTCCTCAAGAACAACAACTCCAAGACACATAATTATCAGATTCACCAAAGTTGAAATGAAGGAAAAATGTTAAGGGCAGCCAGAGAGAAAGGTCGGGTTACCCACAAAGGGAAGCCCATCAGACTAACAGCGGATCTCTTGGCAGAAACTCTACAAGCCAGAAGAGAGTGGGGACCAAAATTCAACATTTTTAAAGAAAAGAATTTTCAACCCAGAATTTCGTATCCAGCCAAACTAAGCTTCATAAGTGAAGGAGAAATGAAATCCTTTACAGACAAGCAAATGCTGAAAGATTTTGTCACCACCAGGTCTGCCCTAAAAGAGCTCCTGAGGGAAGCACTAAACATGGAAAGGAACAACCGGTAACATCCACTGCAATAACATGCCAAACTCTAAAGACCATCAATGCTAGGAAGAAACTGCATCAACTAATGAGCAAAATAACCAGCTAACATCACAATGATAGGACCAAATTCACACATAAAAATATTAACCTTAAGTTTAAATGGGCTAAATGCTCCAATTAAAAGACACAGACTGGCAAATTGGATAAAGAGTCAAGACCCATCAGTGTGCTGTATTCAGGAGACCCATCTCATGTGCAGAGACACACATAGGCTCAAAATAAAGGGATGGAGCAAGATCTACCAAGAAAAAGGAATACAAAAAAAGGCAGGGGTTGCAATCCTCGTCTCTGATAAAACAGACTTTAAACCAACAAAGATCAAAAGAGAGAAGGCCATTACACAATGGTAAAGGATCAATTTAATAAGAAGAGCTAACTATTCTAAACATATATGCACCCAACACAGGAGCAACCAGATTCATACAGCAAGTCCTTAGAGAACTAAAAAGAGACTTAGACTCTCACACAATAATAACGGGAGACTTTAACACCCCACTGTCAACACTAGACAGATCAACGAGACAGAAAGTTAACAAGGATATCCAGGAACTGAACTCAACTCTGCACCATGCAGACCTAATAGACACCTACAGAACTCTCAACCACAAAACAACAGCATATACATTATTCTCAGCACCACATCGCACTCATTCCAAAACTGACCACATAGTTGGAAGTAAAGCACTCCTCAGCAAATGTAAAAGAACAGAAATTATAACAAACTGTCTCTCAGACCACAGTGCAATCAAACTAGAACTCAGGATTAAGAAACTCACTCAAAAGCATTCAACTACAGGGAAACTGAACAACCTGCTCCTGAATGACTACTAGGTACATAATGAAATGAAGGCAGAAATAAAAGTGTTCTTTGAAACCAATGAGAACAAAGACACAACATACCAGAATCTCCAGGACACATTCAAAGCAGTGTGTAGAGGAAAATTTATAGCACTAAATGCCCACAAGAGAAAGCAGGAAAGATTTAAAATTGAAACCCTAACATCACAAGTGAAAGAACTACAGAAGCAAGAGCAAACACATTCAAAAGCTAGCAGAAGGCAAGAAATAACTAAGTTCAGGGCAGAAATGAAGGAGATACAGACACAAAAAACCCTTCAAAAAATCAATGAATCCAGGAGCTAGTTTTTTGAAAAGATCAATAAAATTGATAGACCACTAGCAAGACTAATAAAGAAGAAAAGAGAGAAGACTCAAATAGACACAATAAAAAATGATAAAGGGGATATCACCACCGATCCCACAGAAATACAAACCACCATCAGAGAATACTATAAACACCTCTACACAAATAAACTAGAAAATCTAGAAGAAATGGGTAAATTCCTGGATACATACACCCTCCCAAGACTAAACAAGGAAGAAGTTGAATCCCTGAATAGAACAATAACAGTCTCTGAAATTGAGGCAATAATTAGAAGCCTACCAACCAAAAAAAGTCGAGGACCAGAGGGATTCACCTCCAAATTCTACCAGAGGTACAAGGAGGAACTGGTACCAATCCTTCTGAAACTATTCCAATCAATAGAAAAAGAGGGAATCCTCCCTAACTCATTTTATGGGTCAGCATCATCCTGATACCAAAGCCTGGCAGAGAAACAACAAAAAAAGAGAATTTTAGACCAATATCCCTGATGAAAATCGATGTAAAAATCCTCAATAAAATACTGGCAAACCAAATCCAGCAGCACACCAAAAAGCTTATCCACCATGATCAAGTGGGCTTCATCCCTGGGATGCAAGGCTGGTTCAATATACGCAAATCAGTAAACATAATCCAGCATATAAACAGAACCAAAGACAAAAACCACATGATTATCTCAATAGATGCAGAAAAGGCCTTTGACAAATTCCAACAGCACTTCATGCTGAAAACTCTCAGTCAATTAGGTATTGATGGGACATATCTCAAAATAATAAGAGCTATTTACAACAAACCCACAGCCAATATCATACTGAATGGGCAAAAACTGGAAGCATTCCCTTTGAAATTCCCTGGCAAAAGACAGGGATACCCTCTCTCACCACTCCCATTCAACATAGTGTTGGAAGTTCTGGCCAGGGCAATAAGGCAGGAGAAGGAAATAAAGGGTATTCAATTAGGAAAAAAAGAAGTCAAATTGTCCCTATTTGCAGATCACATGATTGTATATTTAGGAAACCCCATCATCTCAGCCCAAAATTTCCTTAACTGAGAAGCAACTTCAGCAAAATCTCAGGATACAAAATCAATTGCAAAAATCACAAGCATTCCTATACACCAATAAGAGACAAACAGAGAGCCAAATCATGAGTGAACTCCCATTCACAATTGCTTCAAAGAGAATAAAATACCTAGGAATCCAACCTACAAGGGATGTGAAGGACTTCTTCAAGGAGAACTACAAACCACTGCTCAATGAAATAAAAGAGATAAAAACAAACAGAAGAACATTCCATGCTCATGGATAGGAAGAATCAATATCGTGAAAATGACCATACTGCCCAAGGTAATTTATAGATTCAATGTCATCCCCATCAAGCTACCAATGACTTTCTTCACAGAATTGGAAAAAACTACTTTAAAGTTCATATGGATCCAAAAAAGAGTCTGCATTGCCAAGACAATCCTAAGCCAAAAGAACAAAGCTGGAGGCATCATGCTACCTGATTTCAAACTATACTACAAGGCTACGGTAATCAAAACAGCATGGTACTGGTGCCAAAACAGAGATACAAACCAATGGAACAGAACAGAGCCCTCAGAAAAAATACCACACATCTACAACCATCTGATCTTTGACTAACCTGACAAAAACAAGCAATGGGGAAAGGATTCCCTATTTTTTATTTATTTATTTATTATTATTATACTTTAAGTTTTAGGGTACATGTGCACAATGTGCAGGTTAGTTACATATGTATACATGTGCCATGCTGGTGCGCTGCACCCACTAACTCGTCATCTATCATTAGGTATATCTCCCAATGCTATCCTTCCCCCCTCCCTCCACTGCACAACAGTCCCCAGAGTGTGATGTTCCCCTTCCTGTGTCCATGTGTTCTCATTGTTCAATTCCCACCTATGAGTGAGAATATGCGTTGTTTGGTTTTCTGTTCTTGCGATAGTTTACTGAGAATGATGATTTCCAATTTCATCCATGTCCCTACAAAGGACATGAACTCATCATTTTTTATGGCTGCATAGTATTCCATGGTGTATATGTGCCACATTTTCTTAATCCAGTCTATCATTGTTGGACATTTGGGTTGGTTCCAAGTCTTTGCTATTGTGAATAACGCCGCAATAAACATACATGTGCATGTGTCTTTATAGCAGCATGATTTATAGTCCTTTGGGTATATACCCAGTAATGGGATGGCTGGGTCAAACGCTATTTCTAGTTCTAGATCCCTGAGGAATTGCCACACTGACTTCTACAATGGTTGAACTAGTTTACAGTCCCACCAACAGTGTAAAAGTGTTCCTATTTCTCCACATCCTCTCCAGCACCTGTTGTTTCCTGACTTTTTAATGATTGCCATTCTAACTGGTGTGAGATGGTATCTCATTGTGGTTTTGATTCGCATTTCTCTGATGGCCAGTGATGGTGAGCATTTTTTCACCTGTTTTTTGGCTGCATAAATGTCTCCTTTTGAGAAGTGTCTATTCATGTCCTTCACCCACTTTTTGATGGGGTTGTTTGTTTTTTCCTTGTAAATTTGAGTTCTTTGTAGATACTGGATATTAGCCCTTTGTCAGATGGGGTTGCAATCGTAGTCTCTGATAAAACAGACTTTAAACCAACAAAGATCAAAAGACACAAAGAAGACCATTACTTAATTGTAAAGGGATCAATTCAACAAGAAGAGCTAACTATCCTAAATATACATGCACCCAATACAGGAGCACCCAGATTCATAAAGCAAGTTCTGAGTGACTTACAAAGAGACTTACACTCCCACACATTAATAATGGGAGACTTTAACACCCCACTGTCAACATTAAACAGATCAACGAGACAGAAAGTCAACAAGGATACCCAGGAATTGAACTCAGCTCTGCACCAAGCATACCTAATAGACATCTACAGAACTCTCCACCCCAAGTCAACAGAATATACATTTTTTTCAACACCACACCACACCTATTCCAAAATTGACCACATAGTTGGAAGTAAAGCACTCCTCAGCAAATGTAAAAGAATGGAAATTATAACAAACTATCTCTCAGACCACAGTGCAATCAAACTAGAACTCGGGATTAAGAATCTCACTCAAAACCGCTCAACTACATGGAAACTGAACAACCTGCTCCTGAATGACTACGGGGTACATAACAAAATGAAGGCAGAAATAAAGATGTTCTTTGAAACCAACGAGAACAAAGACACAGCATACCAGAATCTCTGGGACACATTCGAAGCAGTGTGTAGAGGGAAATTTATAGCACTAAATGCCCACAAGAGAAAGGAGGAAAGATCCAAAATTGACACCCTAACATCACAATTAAAAGAATTAGAAAAGCAAGAGCAAACACATTCAAAAGCTAGCAGAAGGCAAGAAATAACTAAAATCAGAGCAGAACTGAAGGAAATAGAGACATAAAAAACCCTTCAAAAAATTAAGGATTCCCTATTTAATAAATGGTGCTGGGAAAACTGGCTAGCCATATATAGAAAGCTGAAACTGGATCCCTTCCTTACACCTTATACAAAAATTATTTCAAGATGGATTAAATACTTAAATGTTTGACCTAAAACCATAAAAACCCTAGAAGAAAACCTAAGCAATACCATTCAGGACATAGGCATGGGCAAGGGCTTCATGACTAAAACACCAAAAGCAATGGCAACAAAAGCCAAAATTGACAAATGGGGTCTAATTAAACTAAAGAGCTTCTGCACAGCAAAGAAACCACCATCAGAGTGAACAGGCAACCTACAGAATGGGAGAAAATTTTTGCAATCTACTCATCTGACAAAGGGCTAATATCCAGAATCTACAAAGAACTCAAACAAATTTACAAGAAAAAAGCAAACAACCCCATTAAAAAGTGGGCAAAGGATATGAACAGACACTTCTCAAAAGAAGACATTTTTGCAGCCAACAGACACATGAAAGAATGCTCATCATCACTGGCCATCAGAGAAATGTAAATCAAAACCACAATGAGATATCATCTCACACCAGTTAGAATGGTGATCATTAAAAAATCTGGAAACAACAGGTGCTGGAGAGGATGTGGAGAAATAGGAACACTTTTACACTGTTGCTGGGACTGTATGCTAGTTCAACCATTGTGGAAGCAGTGTGGCAATTCCTCAAGGATATACAACTAGGAATACCATTTGACCCTGCCATCCTATTACTGGGTATATACCCAAAGGATTATAAATCATGCTGCTGTAAAGACACATGCACACGTATGTTTATTGTGGCACTATTCTATTCACAATAGCAAAGACTTGGAACCAACCCAAATGTCCATCAATGATAGACTGGATTAAGAAAATGTGGCACATATACACCATGGAATACTATGCAGCCATAAAAAGATGAGTTCATGTCCTTTGTAGGGACATGGATGAAGCTGGAAACCATCATTCTCAGCAAACTATCTCAGGGACAAAAAACCAAACACCGCATGTTCTCACTTGTCCATGAGAATTGAACAATGAGAACCCTTGGACACAGGAAGGGGAACATCACACACTGGGGCCTGTTGTTGGGTGCGGGAAGCGGGGAGGGATAGCATTAGGAGATATACCTAATGTAAATGACGAGTTATTGGGTGCAGCGCACCAACATGGCACATGTATACATATGTATCAAACCTGCATGCTGTGCACATGTACCCCAGAACTTAAAGTATAATAAAAAAATTCAGTCACTAAGAAATACCAAACTTATCCATTTTACAAAAAAATTCTTCCTCGTGACTATTTACAAATTAAAATAATTAATAATAGGTTAGATGGTTTGAACACCTTTTAAATAATTATTTAAAAAAAGAAGCAGAAAGTATGAAGCCTGCAGAATTCTGGAGTTTTGGAGTCCCATGAGCCTTTTAACAAGTTAACCATCATCATTAATTCTGCACATGTCATAAATAATAAAAAAAATGCTGAGTTGATTACTGGGCAAGTTGTTTCTTCACTGAATTGGCTTACTATAAATTTGTCTTATGCAAATTGATCCAGAACATTATCATCACCCTCTGTTGATGCTTTGCATTTTACTGACTCTTTATTTATTAAAAATAAAATTGGGTATTAAGTGCAGTAAAAATTGACATTCATGACATCTTTAAGTGGAGTTAATTGGCTTGCTTCTGCCTGCAAGATGACTTTTTTTCAGATTTGTGCTAAAGCACCAAGAAGACAATTTTTTCTCCCAGACATCATTCTCCCATTCTGTAAGTTGTCTGTTTACTCTGATGATTTCTTTTTTTGTTGCTGTGCAGAAGCTAGTTTACTTAGATCTCATTTGTCATTTTTTTGCTTTTGTTGCTATTGCTTTTGAGGTTTTCCTCATGAAACCTTTGCCCATGCCTATGTCTTTAATGGTATTGCCTAGATTTTGTTCCAGGGTTTTTATAGTTCTGGGTTTTTACAATTAAGTCCTTAATCTATCTTGAGTTGAGTTTTGCATAAGGCGTAAGGAAGCAGTCTAGTTTCTTTTCTGCATTTGGGTAGCCAGTTCTCCTAGCACCATTTATTTAATAGGAAATCCATTCGTTATTGCTAGTTTTTGTCAGTCTTGTCAAAGATCAGATGATTGCATATGTGTGGTCTTATTTCTGAGTTATCTATTCTCTACCATTGGTCTCTGTGTCTGTTTTTGTACCAGTACCATGCTCTTTTGGTTGCTGTAGCCTTGTAGTATAGTTTGAAGTTGGGTAGCATGATGCCTCCAGCTTTGTTCATTTTGCTTAGGATTGCCTTGGCTATTTGGGCTCTTATTTGGTTCCATATGAATTTTAAAATAGTTTTTCTAATTCTCTGAAGAATGTCAATGGTAGTTTAATGGAAATAGCATTGAATCTATAAATTACTTTGGACAGTATGGCCGTTTTTATGTTATTCAATCTTCCTATCCATGAGCATGGCCTGTTTTTCCATTTGTTTGCATCCTCTCTGATTTCCTCGAGCAGTGGTTTGCAGTTCTCCTTGAAGAGGTCCTTCACTTTCCTTGTTAGCTGTATTCCCAGGTATTTTATTCTCTTTGTAGCAATTATGAACAGGAGTTCATTCATGATTTGGCTTCCTGTATGTCTGTTGTTGTTATATAGTAATGCTCGTGATTTAGGATTTTGTATCCTGAGACTTTGCTGAAGTTGCTTATCAGCTTAAGAAGCTTTTGGGCTGGGACAATGGACTTTTCTAGATGTAGGATTATATCATCTACAAACAAAGACAATTTGACTTTATATCTTCTTATTTGAATACCCTTTATTTCTTTAACTTGTCTTATTGCCCTGGCCAGAAATTCCAATGCTACATTGAATATGAGTGGTCCGAGAAGACATCCTTGTCTTGTGCCTGTTTTCCAGGGGAATACTTCTAGCTTTTACCCATTCAGTATGATATTGTCTGTGGATTTGTCATATATGACTCTCATTACTTTGAGGTATATTCTTTAATACATATTTCATTGAGAGTTTTTAACATGAAGAGATGTTGAATTTTATTGAAGGCCTTTTCCACCTCTGTTGAGATAATCATGTGGTTTTTGTCTTTAGTTATGTTTATGTGATGAATTAAATTTATTGATTTGCATATGTTGAATCAACCTTGCATCTCAGGGATGAGGCCAACTTTATCATGGTGGATAAACTTTTTGATGTGCTGCTGGATTTCGTTTGCCAGCATTTTATTGAGAAATTTTGCATTGATGTTTATCAGAAATATTGGCCTAAAATTTTATTTTTTTGTTATATCTCTGCCAGGTTTTAGTATCAGGATGTTGCTGATGCTGGCCTCATAAAATTAGTTAGGGAGAATTCCCTTCTTTCAATTGTTTGGAAGAGTTTCAGTAGAAATGGTACCAGTTCCTCTTTGTACTTCTGGTAGAATTCAGCTGTAAATTCTTCTGATCTTGGGCTTTTTTGGTTTGTAGGCTATTTATCACTGCCTCAATTTCAGAACTCGTTATTGGTCTATTTAGGGATTCCATTTCCTTCTGGTTCAGTCTTGGGAGGGTGTATGCATCCAGGAATTTACTCATTTTTTCTAGATTTTCTAGTTTATGTGCATAGAGGTGTTTATAGTATTCTCTGATGGTTGTTTGCATTTCTGTGGAGTGAGTGGTGATACCCCCTTGTCATTTATGATTGTGTCTACTTGATTCTTCTGTCTTTGCTTCTTTATTAGCCTACCTAGCGGTCTATTTTATTAATTTTTTTGAAAAACCATGATGATAGGTTATTGAGATCTTTCTAGCTTTTCGATGTGAGCATTTAGTGTTATAACTTTCCCTCTCAACACTGCTTTAGCTGCATCCCAGATATTTTGGTGTGGTGTTCTCATTAGTTTCAAAGAAGTTCTTGATTTCTGCATTAATTTTATTATTTACCCAGGAATCATTCAGGAGCAGGTTGTTTGATTTCCATGTAGTTGTGTGGTTTGGGGTGTGTTTCTTAATATTGAGTTCTAATTTGATTGTGCTGTGATCCATGAGACTGTTTGTTATTATTTCAGTTCTTTTGTATTTGCTAAGGAGTGTTTTACTTCTAATTATGTGATCAATTTTAGAGTAAATGCCATGTGGTGATAAGAATAATTAATATTCAGTTGGTTTTGGTGAAGAGTTCTGTAAATATCTATCAGGTCCACTTGAGACAGAGCTGAGATCAGGTCCTGAATATCTTTGTTAATTTTCTGACTCAATGGTCTGTCTAATGTTGTCAGTGTGGTGTTAAAGTCTCCCACTATTATTATATAGGATTCTAAGTCTCTTTATAAGTCTCCAAGAACTAGCTTTATGAATCTGGGTGCTCTTGTATTGTGTGCACACATTTTTAGAAGAGTTAGCTCTTCTTGGTGAGTTAAACCCTTTACCATCATTTAATGCCCTTTTTGTCTTTTATGATCTTGGTTGGTTTAAAGTCTGTTTTGCCAGAAACTAGGATTGCAACTTCTGTTCTTTTTCTGTTTTCCATTTGCTTGGTAAATTTTCCTTCATCCCTTCAATTTGAGCCTATGTGTGTCTTTTCATTTGAGATGAGTCTCTTGAAGACAGCTCACCAATAGGACTTGACTCTGTCTCCAGTTTGCCATTCTGTGTCTTTAATTGAGGAATTTAGCCCATTTAAATTTAAGGTTAATATTGTTATGTATGAATTTGATCCTGTCATCATCATGCTAGCTGGTTATTTTGCAGACTTCTTTATGTGGTTGCTTCATAGTGTCACTGCCCTGTGCACTTTAGCATGTTTTTGTAGTGGCTGGTAATGGTTTGTCATTTCCATGTTTAGTGCTTCCTTCAGGAGCTCTTGCAAGACAGGCCTGGTGGTGACAAACTCCCTCAGCATTTGCTTGTCTGAAAAGAATCCTATTTCTCCTTTGCATATCAAGCTTAGTTTAGCCAGATATGAAATTCTGGGTTGGAAATTCTTTTCTTTAAGCATGTTAAATATTGGTCCCAGCTTCTTCTGGCTTGCAGTGTCTCTCCTGAGAAGTCCATTGTTAGTCTGATGAGCTCTCCTTTGTAGGTGACCTGGCCTTTCTCTCTGGCTGCCCTTACATTATTTTCTTTCATTTCAATCTTGGAGAATATTATGATTATGTGTCTTGGGGTTGATCTTCTTATGGAGTATCTTACTGGAGTTCTCTGGATTTTCCAAATTTGAATGTTGGCCTAGATCAAGACATTTTCAAAGAAAACTTCCAGGAGTTTTAATTTTATCTCAGGTTGCAGAGATTTTAAAAAATGGCTCTGGTTTTCTTTTTTTTTTCTTTGTATGCATATCCTTTTATTAGATTTCTACTCAAGGGATAATTAGAGAGACATGAAATTTTTATTAAAATTGGAAACATGTTCAATAATATTTTTTTGAGGGGGAAAATTTGCATCATGAGTGATTTATACAATTATCACCAATTATCACATACATGAATGTCCTATAATAGGGATTATTAATATATTTAAAGAATTAGGTAATGATTGTTGTTTTCATGGAGAATTTGGGACAATTAAATGTGAATAATAACAATGACGTTTAGCTATAAAATGCTCTTGGATGTTCTTATAGTACTTTCATCAACTTGTAAGTATCTTGAGTAATTGTCTATGACAGTTTCCTCACAAATCTGTGAGAGTTACAAAAAATACAATTTCAACAGAAATGTATCTGATGAATATGTATCAAACCCAAATTCATTTTCCAAAGTTCATGCTAGCTGTTTATTTCATAAACAAAAGGTCAAAAGAAAATTATGTTTAGAATATGAGCAAGAAAAATCCCAAAGAAGGTAACAAAATTTGAATGCCCATTAATTTAGCTACAGTCTAAACAAATATCTACATTCATTTGAATAAATAAAGAATATTTTGAGGATCAAAGAACAAATATGTATGGCATGGCTTTTGAAATGTCTACCAGGATTCATCCTAATCTAAAGAAAATTATTACCAACAACCCTTGGGCTTCCCCACATATTCTATTTAGTAGGTATTACCCAACTTCTCTGAACCTCAGTGACACACACATATACTATTGGGCTAATCTCAGTCAAGATGAGTTGGACTTATAATGGAAATGAGGTAATGTTTCAAACAGGCTTTGTGAAATACAGCATTTCATGCAAATGTAAGGTGTTATAATCAACCTGGTTTCACCAAACTTTATCCATTCCATTTATTGTGCAACTGGAATTACAAGCAAAATATATTAAATGATTGCTCTAGACTTTAATTTTGACTCTGTTACTTGGGAAATTATGACTCATTTTGTCACCAGTGATTAGGGTGCTGAAGACTATATTTGAACCAAAGAGCCTTACGTTGGGGTCAAATGAGTGAGTGTCTATGAAGTTCTAGGAGCAGCAACATTTCAAACAAAAAATCTGGATGTAACTTCATTCTGGTTCTATTAACTTATCTAAGTTGAAATAAATCGTTAAAAAAAAAGTCAAGCCAAGGGAAAAAGAGGCGAATAGAGCTTGGTCTGCAGAAAAACCTACAAAAAACACAGCTGATTAAGACCACACATGGTGTTCTTGCTGGCTGTTCTGGGAGGAAGTTCTGAAGTGTAAACGTTGCCATTACCAACCCCTGTGGCTGGCAGACCCTTTAAAGGGAAATGACCAATCACGATACCTTAGTTTGATACAATTATCCATTAAAATATGAATATAAAGCCCTAGTTTGAAGTCAATTCTCATCAGGTGAAAAGCAATGTGAAAATAATGTTATGTTTCATACAAAAATTGTGATGCTTCACTTAGCAGTTATATTTCTTATTATAATAAATAATACATCAAATAAACATACAGAGAGAGAGACACACACATACACACCTCTGAATTTTGTAACTATGAGTCAACCTCTAAGCCTACCCACTTAGCAAATGTCTTTTGAAGTCTGTACAAACTGAAGACAAGTCCTGGACTTAGTGACAAACAAGGCTTCCCTGAGTGACATACTAAATTATATATGGAGAATGTAGACAGAATAACATAACACAGCTACACATTTTCTTAATGCATTTACAAATAGTCAGCAGAAGATTAACTTCAAACTCTGATGTCAGGATTTCATTTTCACTGTTTACAAATTCAACATGATTTACAATAAGATGTTTTTTTTTTTTTCTTAGAAGTTGAGTTTGACCTTTTTGAAAATAACCAATTAACTATAAGTAACATACCAGGCCAGCAACTGTTATTTTTCAATTTAAAGCTTAGGGATATCCCAGAAGATATATACACACACACTCACGTATATATATTTGACTAATTTTGCATGGTAGACAGGCATTAAAGAGTGGGCATTGAGTTAATAAATGCCTTTTTAAATGGGAGAAATAGGGAACAGTTACATCTGAAAAGCAAGGTATTTTACATTTTTGTGTCCCAAATTGTCTATCCTAACAGTACAAAGAGATCTGCTGTACTTGAGTAAGAAATTTATAAAGATATTAAAAACTTAGAATGCTCCATTTGAGTAAATGCAACTAATGGTCAAAATGTAAAAGGCCTGTCTTAGCATGGGGATAATATGCATCCAGAGAAGGTTGGCCTTGCTGTGAAGGATGGGAAGGTTTGCATCTATTTATTTCTCTGAAGAAGTCTGTTTATCATTGCAAAAGTCAACCATATTAAATGTTAGTAAAGAGGCAGAATGGATAAAATATTTCTTAATTGGATCCTGTTTTCACCTGTGTTACCAACTCTAAGTATTTCATTATATAAACCACATCCACCTGTTATTTAACTAGTTCTGTTTACCATTTAAAAACTAATAAGAATTAACAAAATGTGTGGGGATAATTTAATGGGATATTGATGAGGGAAAAATATTCTAGATAAATTACTTTTTGGACCAGAATCTAAAATAAAATACAGACTCTCCTCTTTAAATTATTAATAAGGCCAAAGATGTCCTATAGGTACTTTGTAGGGTTTGTCTTGACTGTTGTCAATATATGAACGTTATAAGGGGAACTACTGCAGTAGTCCTCATTAATAAATGAAAATGTATCACTGATATGTTTAAATTTCCTAAGGCTTGGGTATGTTTGCAGTGACTCAGATTCAATCAATAGTTTAACGTACTGGCAGTTCTTATGCTTACAGTATAAAAGCTCCAGGTAACTGCTACTTATCCTTTCATACCGTAGCTATTAGCCATTCAGTCATTATTACATCAAATTTACATGAATATTTTAGTGTGATGCAAATTATTTTAGATTTAAATTTAAAATTGCTCAATATCGGTACCAAATGATATCTTTTAGTAATTATTATTATACTTTAAGTTCTGGGATACATGTGCAGAACGTGCAGGTTTGTTACATAGGTATACACGTTCCATGATGGTTTGCTGCACCCATCAATCCGTCATCTACATTAGGTATTTCTGCTAATGCTATCCCTCCCCTAGCCCCCCAACCCCCAACAGGCCCCAGTGTATGATGTTCCCCTCCCTGTGTCCATGTGTTCTCATTGTTCAACTCCCACTTATGAGTGAGAACATGCGATGTTTGGTTTTCTGTTCCTGTGTTAGTTTGCTGAGAATGATGGTTTCCAGCTTCATCCATGTCCTTGTCCAAATGATAGGATTTTGTTTATCTCACTGGATTTGTAAATTTTAAAATTTTGCTAATAAAATGCACGTTAAATTATGAACACTTGTTTATCAGTTGGTATTTGCACATATATGATCTCTTTCACACATAAGGCAGAAATTATGAATGGGTATCCAAAAGTATAACACAACATGCCTGAAGTGAAGAAACCTTGGATATCACCTAGCCATTTTTCCTCAGTAATCTATCTAAGAGATAAAGTGTCTTGCAGAGACCCATATGACTATCAGAACTGGGAACTCTAATTCTACTTTCTGTTGAAGTTTAGAATGTCAGTTGGTTTCTATATGAATGAAGCTTTTGGAAACTAAATGGTCCCTAGATCCGTTGTTTAGATTTCAGTTTGCTTTGTAACAATTTGAGGGTTTTTAGAAGGTTAAAGGGCTGTTGTCAAAATACATTGGTTGCATGTTGGGAGAATGGGAATGTCCATGACTTGTGCTAAGCCACTCCCCATAAGTTGGATAGCTGTATCCTTGAGGAACTCAGAGGAGATTGGGAAAACTTGTTCTTAGATGCCAAATTTTTAAGTTAGACAGACTTAAGAATGCCCCTAAAGTATCCATGGATTCTCTCCCTAGTCTATAACTTACAAAATACACTTAGGACAAAACAAAAGAGCATAGCAAGTGATTTCTCCCACATGATCTGCCCATAGCTTTGGGAATATTTTAAGTCCCAGAAAAAGTAGATAGTGCTATGTATTTGTACTGATGCAGACAGTGGGAGGGAGTGAAGTTGGGTAATAAAGGTGGATGGCATGCCCCTTTTTAAAATATATTGATCCCTAGTTATCTTGTGAATTTTATCCCTGTTACCATGACTTTTATCTTGAAGTTATAGGGTAGGAAAATGAGAAAGAAAAGTTTTAAATTACGTCCTGAATGGTAATGCCTAGGTTTTCTTCTAGGGTTTTTATGGTTTTAGGTCTAACGTTTAAGTCTTTAATCCATCTTGAATTAATTTTTGTATAAGGTGTAAGGAAGGGATCCAGTTTCAGCTTTCTACATATGGCTAGCCAGTTTTCCCAGCACCATTTATTCAATAGGGAATCCTTTCCCCATTGCTTGTTTTTGTCAGGTTTGTCAAAGATCAGATAGTTGTAGATATGCGGCGTTATTTCTGAGGGCTCTGTTCTGTTCCATTGATCTATATCTCTGTTTTGGTACCAATACCATGCTGTTTTGGTTACTGTAGCCTTGTAGTATAGCTTGAAGTCAGGTAGCATGATGCCTCCAGCTTTGTTCTTTTGGCTTAGGATTGACTTGGCGATGCGGGCTCTTTTTTGGTTCCATATGAACTGTAAAGTAGTTTTTTCCAATTCTGTGAAGAAAGTCATTGGTAGCTTGATGGGGATGGCATTGAATCTATAAATTACCTTGGGCAGTATGGCCATTTTCAAGATATTGATTTTCCTACCCATGAGCACGGAATGTTCTTCCATTTGTTTCTATCCTCTTTTATTTCATTGAGCAGTGGTTTGTATTTCTCCTTGAAGAGGTCCTTCACATCCCCTGTAAGTTGGATTCCTAGGTATTTTATTCTCTTTGAAGCAATTGTGAATGGGAGTTCACTCATGGTTTGGCTCTCTGTTTGTCTGTTATTGGTGTATAAGAATGCTTGTGATGTTTGCACATTGATTTTGTATCCTGAGACTTTGCTGAAGTTGCCTATCAGCTTAAGGAGATTTTGGGCTGAGACAATGGGGTTTTCTAGATATACAATCATGTCACCTGCAAACAGGGACAATTTGACTTCCTCTTTTCCTAATTGAATACCCTTTATTTCCTTCTCCTGTCTAATTGCCCTGGCCAGAACTTCCAACACTATGTTGAATAGGAGTGGTGAGAGAGGGCATCCCTGTCTTGTGCCAGTTTTCAAAGGGAATGCTTCCAGTTTTTGCTCATTCAGTATGATATTGGCTGTGGGTTTGTCATAGATAGCTCTTATTATTTTGAGATATGTCCCATCAATACGTAATTTATTGGGAGTTTTTAGCATGAAGGGTTACCATTCAGGACATAGACATGGGCAAGGACTTCATGTCTAAAACACCAAAACCAATGGCAACAAAAGCCAAAATTGACAAATGGGATCTAATTAAACTAAAGAGCTTCTGCACAGCAAAAGAGACTACCATCAGAGTGAACAGGCAACCTACAGAATGGGAGAAAATTTTCACAACCTACTCATCTGACAAAGGGCTAATATCCAGAATCTACAATGAACTCAAATTTACAAGAAAAAAACAAACAACCCCATCAAAAAGTGGGTGAAGGACATGAACAGACACTTCTCAAAGGAAGACATTTATGCAGCCAAAAAACACATGAAAAAATGCTCATCATCACTGGCCATCAGAGAAATGCAAATCAAAACCACAATGAGATACCATCTCACACCAGTTAGAATGGCAATCATTAAAAAGTCAGGAAACAACAGGTGCTGGAGAGGATGTGGAGATATAGGAACACTTTGACACTGTTGGTGGGACTGTAAACTCGTTCAACCATTGTGGAAGTCAGTGTAGCAATTCCTCAGGGATCTAGAACTAGAAATATCATTTGACCCAGCCATCCCATTACTGGGTATATACCCAAAGGACTATAAATCATGCTGCTATAAAGACACATGCACACGTATGTTTATTGTAGCACTATTCACAATAGCAAAGACTTGGAACCAACCCAAATGTCCAACAATGATAGACTGGATTAAGAAAATGTGGCACATATACACCATGGAATACTATGCAGCCATAAAAAATGATGAGTTCATGTCCTTTGTAGGGACATGGATGAAATTGGAAATCATCATTCTCAGTAAACTATCGCAAGAACAAAAAACCAAACATCACATATTCTCACTCATAGGTGGGAATTGAACAATGAGAACACATGGACGCAGGAAGGGGAACATCACACTCTGGGGACTGTTGTGGGGTGGGGGGGGAGGGATTTAGGAGATATACCTAATGCTAAATAACTCAAATGACGAGTTAATGGGTGCAGCATACCAGCATGGCACATGTATACATATGTAACTAACCTGCACATTGTGCAAATGTACCCTAAAACTTAAAGTATAATAATAATAATAAATTATGTCACATTTTTTTCTTCTCACACAAGTGTCTTTCTTTCCCTCCCCATCTTTCATCCTGGAGGAACTTCAGTGTATGCTGATGATCGTATGAGAAAAAAAAAGAACACACTCCTATACCCACACATAATCCAGAAAAATATTCAATTATTTTTTAATTCAAATTTGAATAATGTAGTCCTACTTGAACAATGTCTATAGGGTAGTAAAAGAGAGGGCAACACTATCCATGAGTACACAGCTTCATTTCTCAAATTTTATAGTGTCTGATGTTACCATTTCCTCAGCCTCAGAAAGTATGTCTGGTGGTACTTTTAATTCCTACCCTTGCATTTATAAATTTTTACCTTCCTTTATGTCAAAGTCCTAGTATTAATTTATATATATATTATGCTACCCAAGTTGTTGCTGGTAAAAGAAAAGAGAAACCTCAGATGTTATGATTTGGTACTAAGAAAAGATATTATTATAATTATCTACAATTTAGGTGGAATACACGAAACTCTGGCATTTAAAAAAATTAAATAGCTTTAGGGGTACAAGTGGTTTTTGGTTACGTGGATGAATTGTATAGTG
Source organism: Homo sapiens (assembly GCF_000001405.40). Lineage (NCBI taxonomy): Eukaryota > Metazoa > Chordata > Mammalia > Primates > Hominidae > Homo > Homo sapiens. Next base: position 81,702,980 of record NC_000023.11, read on the forward strand.
GTGAAGTTTGAGATTTTAGTGCACCCATCAGCAGTGCAGTGTACATTGTAACCAATATGTAGTTTTTATTCCTCATCTTCCTTCCACTTTCCTCCTTTCTGAGTCTCCAATGTACATTATACTACTCAGTATGCCTCTGTATGCCTTTGCATACCCATAGCTTAGCTCCTACATGTCAGTGAGAATATACTGTATTTGCTTTTCCATTCTTGAGTTACTTCGCTTAGAATAATGGCCTCCAGCTCCATCCAAGGGGCTTCATAAGACACTATTTTGTTCATTTTTATGGCTGAAAACTTTGGCATTTTTTTTCAGGAAGGGGAACATCACACACCGGGGCCTGTTTTTGGGTGGGGGGAGGGGGGAGGGAAAGCATTAGGAGATATACCTAATGTAAATGACGAGTTAATGGGTGCAGCACACCAACATGGCACATGTATACATATGTAACAAACCTGCACGTTGTGCACAGGTACCCTAGAACTTAAAGTATAATAAAAAAAAAACATGTAGGATAAATCGTTATTTATTCACACACAGTTTCCCACAGTAACAGAACTGTCAGATGAACATACTAGAAAGTGAGTGTTTTGATTTATTTTTGTCAGGATTGTTATTGTGCTTCAAGGGGTTTGGAGGTGGATTAGAAATGTCATTAGGTTAACTAGAATCTAGACAAATCAAATTCCCACTTAATATAGATTTAAGCTGTATCTGTTTTTAGTATAAATATAATTTTATAAACAAAAACTAATACTGATGATTTAATCAAGAAAATGTCTATCTGGATTCAGAATACAGTCAGTATAATCACATGGTAATCTCAATCTCGATACACAAATTTGATATTGAGAACAATGACCCCGAGTCCTTGTTAAGAATTCTTTTATTAAAGAAACAGGTTCTAGAGCAAATTTACTTTGGCAGGAATACGAACTGAGTTTAGAACAAAAGTGTTAAAACATAAAGGTACTTTTTACTTTTCTCTCATGTAATAAATAACATAATTTCTATTTTGTCTTTTCAACATTTGGGATATTTACTATTTTATTTTGACTTACCTGTTTTGGGAAAGACTGACCAGAGAAGCCAAGGTTTTATACAAAATTATATGTATATATATAATTTAAAAGTCATCAATTTCTAAATAAGTTAAAAATTTATAATTTTTTTCGTGAGTAGGTCTAGAAGGAAAGATCTCAGAAAGGAATGAGGAACCAGTCATTACAATCCAATGCTAGTAGTGAGTCTGAACAGTTTATAAACCTAGACATGCTTATTTTGAGACAGTTCAACGAATACAAATGAGCCGATTCTTCCATTTCCTTCCTTCCCTACCACTTTCTAAAGAGATACTAAGCGACTTACAAAATTACATCAAATTTCATGAAATGCAAATTAAGAACAACAAGTTGAAGGAAAAACAAGATGGGAAACCTGTAATTTTTCTAGGAAGAAAGAGATAATGATTTAAGAATGTGAACGGTGTCACATCGGTGGTCTTTACATATTCTTTGTAGCTGATAGAACAAGCACTGGCCTTTTAAGTTACTATAGCAATAATTCGACCTATAAGGAGTTAATAATATCCCTAAGGCTTGACTTTATTTCCCTCCTAACTTTCTTGAATTGAAATACTGCTCTGGGAACATATTCGTTTTCCAATTCATGTTCTCTTCACTTTCAGGGAAACTTGAAAGTGTTATAGTAGGAAGATGTTTAACAATAGAATGATTTTCATCAATGACTAACTTTCATGCTGCCTACCTTCAATATGGTAGGCTATTTTAACAAATAACTCCAATTACAGTGGTTTAACACAATAAATGTTCAATGTTTATATTATAAGCTCATGTGAATCAGAGGGATGGGCAAGGTCTCTGTTCAACACAGTCTTTCAGAGAGGCTTTTTTATTAGTCACACCTGAAAGAAGCGTGTATTATTTTTGTAATACATAAGTATGTAATACATACTTTTGTAATACATGTAAAAAAAGACATTTTTTGTTAAAATGCGTGCTATTAATTATTATGAGACAACTGGAATAAAAAATATTGTATTGGGCTAACTAGGACATGTATCCATACTACAGATAGGCCATAATTTCCTTTAGCACTAGGACAGTAGATAATTATATATTCTATATGGTTTCTTGCACAGTGTGGAACACTCAAGTGATAAATAAACACTTGGAAGTTTGAAAACACTATGGAATACAGTCTCCAGATAAAATTACATCTCCATTGAGGATGAGTTTCTGTCATTTTTTTCTTTGTGACTTCCACGGTCACCTACAAAAAAACTGCCAGTTAGTTTCAAGAGCAATTGACATTTAGTCATTAAACACTAGCTAGGATCTGTTTGCTCTAATCTATTGAGCATACTTAGTGGCTACATTAAAATAGTAAATTGCATCACTATCACGTCCACCAGTGGGCAATAAAGAATCATAATAGTAATCCATATGTTTCATAAAGCTATATTTTCTTCTTTAAGATTTTCATGATAGGAGAAGTATGAATTGATGAACTATCTTCAGATTTTGAGATTAAGGACAAATAAGAGCATATTCAGGTGAGAATGATAAAGATGGAGTAAGGATTTAAATTTTTATGGTATAAAAATTTGTTGGAGAAACTAGTGATACTTGGACTGGAAAAGATAAACCAAAGAATAATCAGAATAATTATACTCAAAAGCTTAAAAGGGAGAAAGGACCAGGTTTCTTCAAGGGCTAGAACCAGGACAAGTGGGTAGAAGATAAAAGAAGAAATATTTGTGGCTGTATATTGAGGAAGAAAAAGGCACAGCTGACATAAGATTGAGTTGTCTTAGAAGGGAGTGAATTTATATATAGTTTGGCCAACTAAATAGTGAAGATGCTATGGCAAGGTTTTAAGTGTTGTATTGGAAACACAAGTTAAAATATAAGATACTCAGTGTTCATTTCAAATTGATATGAGCTTAATTGATTCTGTTTGATTATAATAATAAAGGGACAGTACATTTGCTACAGCTAATTTCTCATGCTTTCATGAGGAGTACATTAACTTTTAGAGATTCTCCTTAGTTGGACAAGTCACTGACACTCCATTACATGCTTTGAAAATCCACCAAGGCCTATTTCCTTTACTCTAACTACTTTTTCATGCAATCTTTTATGTTTATATACAAGCTAGATATTATTTGGATTAATATTCAGGCAAGTTAATATTAATCCAGGGAAAATATTACATACTTAGACGAATCCATTTACTTGCTTATTCTTTCTTTCTCTCCACAAGACAAAAACTGCCATGGCAAATATGTCTTGACCGACATGCAAATAAAAGCATCACTGGGAAGTAAGTACTTCATTATATGGAAAGGGTAGAAAACCTATCAAATTGAATTAAAAAGCCACTGAATTAGCAGCACTGCTCAAAGGAGTGTGTCCATGATGCAATGACTCAGATAAGAAAGATAATGTTTCATTAAGCGAGAGATACTGCCTATCACTTTAAATGCACACCTCTTACAGGAAAGATCAACATTTAGTAAAGCAATGAAGAAATATCTAATCAGCCTTATCAATAATGAATTTTCTTTTCAGACCAGTACACAGCTTTCCTATTCCAGGGCCCCAGTGAAAGTCATATGCTATGAACTCCACTTGATACACAGTTTTAGCAACTAAAATGAGTGTCTATTGGTACATTAGACAACCTCATTACAAGGGCCATTTCTCAAAGAGCTAGGATGTCAACAAGGAATTGAAGATGGGCCATGAGCAGGCTGACTAAACTATGTCTTTGCATAATTCTTTGGTTAATGATTCCAGTATACAATCTGTTTTGAAGAAGATACCAGTTTTAGGAAAAATTGTGATACAAAACAAATTGCCTTTAGTATTTGTCTGATGTCTCATTTCAGCTACTCTTTTTTTCAGATACTTTACTCTCTCATTTTGGCTATTGAATCTGAAGCAATGCTCTATTCTCAGGACGTCTCCTTTTCTTCTATTTCCCCTTCCTTCTTCATTCCCCACAAAATGTGTCCCTTATGTGTCTCCTTTCCAAAGATCCTTGATCTCTGCTAGGGGGCAGGAACAAGTTTGAGTTTGGTTGCCTGCTTATTAATGCATTATATACTACTTCTTCTTGGAATTTTATTATTTCTCCTCTTTGTTGAATACAATAATGTAACTTTTAACTAAAATAAATGTTCTTTAATGGTAGAAACATTAAGCAGCTGTCAGGCCCATTGTGGTGATGGCAGTGATGAATAGGATTTGTGGGAGGTACTTCTGGAATGAGGGCAAGCTTGATATACACACTCAAATATTCCGGTTTAGTAAGACTTGCATGAGTCCCAGGAATCTGTATTTTCCTAAGGTATCCAGGTGATTGTCACATGCAATTGGGTTTGGAAAGCACTGCTTTGTATTAGTGCTACTTAACTATTAATGTACATAAAAATTACCAGGGAATCTTCTTAAAATGCAGATTTTCATGAAAGAGGACTAGGGTGGAATTCTGCATTTCAAACAAATTTCCAGCTGATGCTGAAGCTGCTGGCCCAGAATTCACATTTTAAGTAACAAAGATCTGGAACATTAATATTTTGAAAATATCAATATTGAGGTTGATCAATGTTGACATAACACATATTTTTAAAAGCAAAAATGCCTGAGCATTGATTTTTTTTTTTCTGAGTTTGCCAAATGATTTTAATGTAAAACTGGGCTCAACATCGTGACTTTTTTTTTTTTTTTTTGAGACGGAGTCTCACTCTGTCGCCCAGGCTGGAGTGCAGTGGTGCGATCTTGGCTCACTGCAACCTCCGCCTCCCAGATTCAAGCAATTCTCCTGCCTCAGCTTCCCGTGTAGCTTGGACTACAGGTGCCGGCTACCACATACGGCTAATTTTTAGTAGAGACGGGATTTCACCATTTTGGTCAGGCTGGTCTCGAACTCTGACCTCAGGTGATCCATCCGCCTCAGCCTTCCAAAGTGCTGGGATTACACGCGTGAACCACCACGCAGGGCTAACATCATGGCTTTATATAGTTATTACCTCTTCCCCTGTTTGAAGAAGCAGATGTTGCTGTGAAATATCTGTAAATTGCACCTGAACATTTCCAAGGTAAGACAGGTCAAAGTTGTGTAATAATTAAGAGTAGGGGTTCCAGTTTCATTGAACTGGATTTGGGTCTTGTTTTCACTTTTTATTAATTGTATATCTTTGTGCATATTAATTCATACTAATAAGCACCAAAACAGGAATAAGAATACTCAAAGATTTATCTAGAATAAGGGAAATAATGCATATAAAATGTAATAAACCCTTAATAAATGAGAGCTATTTTTTGATATTACACTTGGTGCATACTAAGTTTTTTCATTGAAGAGCCCCAAATGCCAGAGGAAATTAATATACGTTCCTTGGGGAATGAAGATCTGTGGTCCTCTACAAGAGTTACAGTTCTTAGAAATCTCTTGTTTCACTTTTAAAAACATCATTCCAGTATTGAATTGTATCTCACAGTGTATATGCACATTTATCACAAAAATAAATTAAATATATGTATTACCCCAAAATGTTAAGAAAAATTGATGTAGCACGGAACTATTGCATAATTGTTCTATAGTTCTACAAATTCCTTTTGCAGTATTGAGTAACACGTTATTACCCTGATGGTGCGGTGGAGGCAGTAAGCTCAGACTGCTGCCATTCTTTATTGTGTGACTCACCCACCACAAGGGGAGAATGTGGATGAATTTGACCTACCCCTCAGCTGTCAGTCACAGCTGTTTTGACCAAGTATATGCAACTTAACCAGGCCTGCCAATTTGTATGTTACATGTTTCCAGAAATTTTACTCACATGTGAACAATATGGAATTTTCTAGACTAATCAGATTCTCAGTCACATATTTCAGCTTGAAAATACCTTATCAATCAGTAATTTGCTTGTAGTGCATTAAAAGGTTAGTAAGAAGATGCTGAAACTGAGAAGAAGTAAAAAACATTAAAGTGTAATTAATCGGAGAAAGAAGCTGGCTCAAAGATTCAGAAAAATTTCCTCAATAAAGTAGAATCTCTGAGCTCTAATAACATTGAGGACCAATTCCTAGTTTCCATGAGAAAGCAACACTAGCCTGTGGCAAAATTTTGATGTTATTAAACATTACACTTTGAGTCCCAGACTCTAGTTATGTCCCCTTTCCTCAAATGGAGATCCCTTGTAAAATTCTAGTAATTTTAAGTAAATAAACATTAACTTAGGGTTTACTATGCACCAGTCACTGAATTAAATGCTGTGGAGCAAATACGACACAATTTTTCTTTTAGAGGTTTTATTCTGATAGTATAGAGTCATATTCACAAAGTATATGGTCTATTCATATATGTTTATGTGTGTATGTAGATATACAACTGTGATTTCTTCCATGAAGGGAAAGCAGGGAGCAAGCTAAAGGAGGTGCTTGGGAAGACATACATAAGTGAAATATCAAAAGAATTACATGATTTAGAGGCCAATGAATGCACCTGGCAATTCCCAAACATTGCCACCACTAGTCATTCTTTTATGACTAAGGCAGGGTTTCCAGAGGATCACTGCTAACATGTAAATCTGTTCTATAAATAACATTAAAATTTTGTTTAAAACACTCTTTAGAAAAAAAGTAAATAGATTTTAAGACAGTCAGCTTTGATTGTAGATGAAGAATCAGTGAAGAGTATGCAGATGAAGTTGGATTAGGTCCCAGTGTGTTGTTTTGGTGATGTGCTCTGGTTATCAATGGGAAATATGAAAACACCATGAGCTTGGAGAGATAATAATTATTTTGCAATTTTGCATGAGTTCTGTCTACAAGTTACTCAGCATGTGCTTCAATGTATTTAGTATGAATCACATGGGGGGAGGTTTGAAGTTCAAATAAATTCATTCATTCATTAAACAAATATGTATTCATAGCCTACTATATATGAGGCAATATAGTAGGTGCTTACTCTGTGAATTATATAGACAAATGGATCTAATATTCTAGTTGGGGAGACAGAAAATAAGTATAGTAAGTCAGTAAAGCATATACTATGTTAGATAGCAATAAGTGCAAAAGAAAGAAAATTAAGCAGGCCAATATATAAATATATAAATATAAATATGAAATATTTGGAGACAAAATATTTGATGGCTTAGGGAATTTTTATTGAGAAAGACAATTGAATAAAATAAATGAAGAAAGTGAGGAAGCTAACCATCTGGGGAATAAAAAGAGCATACTAGACAGAATGCAAAATGATTACAAAGGGCTTCAACTCCTTGGCCTCTCTTCTGGAATCAATATATTTTTCCAGTGATTTATTTAACTGTCTTTTATTGCACAAATACCATGCTGTTTTAATTACAATAACTTTTTAATAGTACTTGAAATTCATTCTTCAAGATTATGTTGGCTATTCTTGGCACTCTGCATTTCATACAAAGTTTAGTTTCAGTTTGTTATATACTACAGAAACACATGCTGCTATATTGGTGGAGATTGAATCAAGTCTATTGGTTAATTTATGATTAATTGACATATTTACAACACTGAAGCTTCCAATTTATGAGCATTAGATCTTCCCCATTTATTTTTCTTTTTAAATTTATTACAATAACAAGGTATAATTTTGTGTATATAAAAATTTACATCTTTTATTAGATTTATTCCTAGTTTTTGTTTAAAGATAATTTTAATGAAATCACATTTTCCAGTTTTTAAGGGTCTGTAAACAAACAAATAAATGAACAAAAGCACACACATTATTTTACATTTAGATATACATTACAACTGTCTTACAATAAAAATTTTTTTGTGGTGAAAATGTTTAAAACTTTTTCTCAGCAGTTTTAAAGGACTATATACATTGTTAACTATAGTCACCATGCTGTACAATAGATAGCCAAAACTTATTCTCTCTTCAATTGAAACTTGGTACCCTTTGACCAACATCATCCCATCCCCTAGTAAGCACCATTCTACTCTCCACTTCGATAATTTCAACCATTTTAGATTCCTCATATAAGTAAGATTATAGTGGTATTTGTCTTTCTGTGTCTGGCTTATTTACTAAATTAAACACAACAGTGAAAATAACAGCAAAAACAATAGGATGCCTTATAGATACTGTTATTTTTAAAAATATGTTGGAAACTTAGTTGTACTATAACTGAGCAATTAAAATGTAGTTATATTTGATGTTTTTTATGTAAGTAAACATTTTATCTTTTGAAACTTCATTTTTAACTGTTTATGTCTAGAATATAGAAGTGTATTTGGTGTTATATGGCCCTTGTATTCAACAACCTTATTACATTAATTTATTAATTATAATAAATGGTTTGCAGAATCTTTAAGAGTTTCCATATGTGCAGATATATTTGTGATTAATAATAATTTTTCCCAATTGTATGGCTTCTATATACATTTACTTGTTTTATCACATAGCCTTCTACTTTCAGTATAATGATGAATAGAAGTGATGAGAATGGACATCTTTGTATTTTTCCAACTCAGCATGAAAGCTGTATTAGTCCATTCTCACACTGCTATGAAGAAATACCCGAGACTGAGTAACTTCTAAAGAAAAGAGATTTATTTGCCATAGATAGCTCTTAATATTTTGAGATACGTCCCATCAACACCTAATTTATTGAGAGTTTTCAGCATGAAGTGTTGTTGAATTTTGTCAAAGACCTTTTCTGCATCTATTGAGATAATCACAGTCAATATCATACTGAATGGGCAAAAACTGGAAGCATTCCCTTTGAAAACTGGCACAAGACAGGGATGCCCTCTCTCACCACTCCTATTCAACATAGTGTTGGAAGTTCTGGCCAGGGCAGTTAGGCAGGAGAAGGAAATAGAGGGTACTCAATTAGGAAAAGAGGAAGTCAAATTGTCCCTGTTTGCAGATGACATGATTGTATATCTAGAAAACCCCATTGTCTCAGCCCAAAATCTCCTTAAGCTGATAAGCAACTTCAGCAAAGTCTCAGGATACAAAATAAATGTACAAAAATCAGAAGCATTCTTATACACCAATAACAGACAAACAGAGAGCCAAACCATGAGTGAACTCCCATTCACAATTGCTTCAAAGAGAATAAAATACCTAGGAATCCAACTTACAAGGGATGTGAAGGACCTCTTCAAGGAGAAATACAAACCACTGCTCAATGAAATAAAAGAGGATACAAACAAATGGAAGAACATTCCATGCTCATGGGTAGGAAGAATCAATATCTTGAAAATGGCCATACTGCCCAAGGTAATTTAGAGATTCAATGCCATCCCCATCAAGCTACCAATGACTTTCTTCACAGAATTGGAGAAAACTACTTTAAAGTTCATATGGAACCAAAAAAGAGCCCGCATTGCCAAGTCAACCCTAAGCCAAAAGAACAAAGCTGGAGGCATCATGCTACCTGACTTCAAACTATACTACAAGGCTACAGTAACCAAAACAGCATGGTACTGGCACCAAAACAGAGATATAGATCAATGGAACAGAACAGAGCCCTCAGAAATAATGCCACATATCTACAACTATCTGATCTTTGACAAACCTGAGAAAAACAAGCAATGAGGAAAGGATTCCCTATTGAATAAATGGTGCTGGGAAAACTGGCTAGCCATATGTAGAAAGCTGAAACTGGATCCTTCCTTAAACCTTATACAAAAATTAATTCAAGATGGATTAAAGACTTAAACGTTAGACTTAAAACCATAAAAACCCTAGAAGAAAACCTAGGCATTACCATTCAAGACATATGCATGGGCAAGAATTTCATGTCTAAAACACCAAAAGCAATGGCGACAAAAGCCAAAATTGACAAATGGGATCTAATGAAACTAAAGAGCTTCTGCACAGCAAAAGAAACTACCATCAGAGTGGACAGGCAAGCTACAAAATGGGAGAAAATTTTCACAACTTACTCATCTGATAAAGGTCTAATATCCAGAATCTACAATGAATGCAAACAAATTTACAAGAAAAAAACAAACAACCCCATCAAAAAGTGGGCAAAGAACATGAACAGACACTTCTCAAAAGAAGACATTTATGCAGCCAAAAAACACATGAAAAAATGCTCACCATCACTGGCCATCAGAGAAATGCAAATCAAAACCACAATGAGATACCATCTCACACCAGTTAGAATGGCAATCATTAAAAAGTCAGGAAACAACAGGTGCTGGAGAGGATGTGGAGATATAGAAACACTTTGACACTGTTGGTGGGACTGTAAACTAGTTCAACCATTGTGGAAGACAGTGTGGCGATTCCTCAGGGATGTGGAAATAGAAATACCATTTGACCCAGCCATCCCATTACTGGGTATATACCCAAAGGACTATAAGTCATGCTGCTATAAAGACACATGCACATGTATGTTTATTGCAGCACTATTCACAAGAGCAAAGACTTGGAACCAACCCAAGTGTCCAACAATGATAGACTGGATTAAGAAAATGTGGCACATATACACCATGGAATACTATGCAGCCATAAAAAATGATGAGTTCATGTCCTTTGTGGGGACATGGATGAAATTGGAAATCATCATTCTCAGTAAACTATCGCAAGGACAAAAAACCAAACACCGCATGTTCTCACTCATAGGTGGGAATTGAACAATGAGAACACGTGGACGCAGGAAGGGGAACATCACACTCTGGGGACTGTTGTGGGTGGGAGGAGGGGGGAGGGATAGCATTAGGAGATATACCTAATGCTAAATGACGAGTTAATGGGTGTAGCACACCAGCATGGCACACGTATACATATGTAACTAACCTGCACATTGTGCACATGTACCCTAAAACTTAAAGTATAATAAAAAAAAAGAACTAATCTGAAAAAAAGAAGAAAAAAAAGAAAAGAGGTTTAATTGACTCACAGTTCTGAATGGCTGAGGAGGCCTCAGCAAATGTAAAATTATGGCAGAAGGCACCTCTTCACAGGGCAGCAGAAGAGAGAATGAGTGCAAGCTGGGAACATGCCAGAAGCTTATAAAACCATCAGATCTCATGAGAACTCACTCACTATCAATCAGGAAAACCGCCTCCATGATTCAATCTCCCACCGGATCCCTCCCAAGACACAAGGGGATTACGGGGCTTACAATTCAAGATGAGATTTGGGTGGCGACACAGCCAACCACATCAAAAGCTTTCAGAAAATTACTATTAGTTATGATCTTTTCCACAGGTTTACTAAAATAGTCTCTTTGAGATTAAGAAACCGTCCTTATATTCCTAGTATGTTAAGAGTTTTATCATGAATAGCTGTTGAATTCATATATAAAGAAAGTTTTACTATATATTGAGGCGATTCTTAAACTTTACCTTTATTCTGTTACTGTGTTAAGTTTTCAGATGTGAAACTTGCCTTGTATTTATGGGATAAGCTTGGTTATGATACATTATACTATATGTATATCACACAGTTTAGCTTTGCCAATATTTTCTTTAATATTTTTCATCTATGTCCATGGGAGGGATTGTAAGTTGTCTTATCCATGTAAACTTCCTCCCATAAAATAAATTGGGAGGTGTTTCTTTTTTTCTGTTCTATGAAATATTTTGTCTATTGTTGATATTATTTTTTCTTAACTATTTGAAATAATTCTCCAACTAGTCCTAGACATCTTGTTGAGTGAACATTTCAAATTACAGATATATTTCTTTTAATACATGTTTATTCAGAATTTATGTTTCTCCCTTGTGTTTGTTTTGATAAGTTGTATATTTCCAAATTTTTTTGTTTTTTCTAAGTTTTAAAATTTGTTCACCTACAGTTGTTTATCTTCTTATTTTTCTAGTGTTTGTAGATTTATAGTGGGTCCTTTTTTTTCCCTTCCTGATGCTGCTATATTTGTCCTTTCTATTTAATTTCTTTATCACTCTTACTAAATATTTATTCATTTTAGTAATATTTTCAAATGATGACATCTTTGCGTGTATTTCCATTTAAAAATTTTTCATGTTATTAAATTTTGATCATTTTAATAAACATGTTTTCATTTCTTTTACAATATTTTTTGAGTTTAGCTTGCTGTTCTTTTACTAACTCCTTGAGATAGATGATTTTCAACTTTTATTCATTTCAAATATATGTATCTAAAGCTATAAATGTTACTCTAAGCATAGATATAACTATTATAAAATAAATGGTTGATATATTATTATATTTTACTGCTTATTCAATAAATACATTTTCTAATTTTCATTTTGATTTTCTTTTGACTAACGAGTTACACAGAAATGTATTGCTTAATTTCAAAGAATGTTATTTTACAATTTACTGGCTTTTTAAATTTATTCCTTTATTAACTGCGACATGCACATATACTGTGAATGAATTCTGGTTTTTGAAATTGTTGAAGCTTGCTTCATGGCCCATAATATAGCCAATTTTCTCAACTTTCTTTAATATTAGGAAAGCTATACCAGTTTTCTTTTGGCTAGCATATGCGTATCTTTGTTGTTGTAGTTGTTGTTGTTGTTGTTTTTGAGACAGGGTCTCACTCTCTCACCCAGGCTGGAGTGCAGTGGCCCAATCTCAGCTCACTGTAACCTCTGCCTCCCAGGCTCAAGCCATCCTCCAAATTCAGCCTCCCAAGTAGCTGGGACTCCAGGCACAGCCACCATGCCTGGCTAATTTTTGTATTTTTTGTTGAGATGGAGTTTCACCATATTGTGCAGACTGGTCTCAAACTCCTGAGCTCAACTGATCCACCTGCCTTGGCCTCCCAAAGTGCTGGAATTACAGGCGTGAGCCACCACTCCTGTCTATATGTTTTTATTCATCTTACTGTCACCTTTTCTGTGTACTTATGTTTAAGGTGTATTCTTACAAACAGAATTGTTTGGCTGTGTATTATTTTATCCAGCTTTTGTCTTTTAGTTGGCTTATTTTATTCTTTTACATTTAGTATACTAATATATTTTATTTTTTAATCTATTTTTTCACTTTTCAGATTTGTTCCATAATTATTACTAGCTTTTTTGTTTTCTTTAGGTTTAATCAAGTATTTTGTACTATTATGTTTCTTTATTAAATCAGCTTAACAGTTATGTATTCTTTTTTTTTTTTTTTTTTTTGAGACGGAGTCTGGCTCTGTCACCCAGGCTGGAGTGCAGTGGCGCAATCTCAGGTCACTGCAAGCTCTGCCTCCCGGGTTCACGCCATTCTCCTGCCTCAGCCTCCGGAGTAGCTGGGACTACAGGCGCCCGCCACTACGTCGGGCTAATTTTTTGTATTTTTAGTAGAGACGGGGTTCCACCGTATTAGCCAGGGTGGTCTTGATCTCCGGACCTCGTGATCCACCCGCCTCGGCCTCCCAAAGTGCTGGGATTACAGGCATGAGCCACCGCGCCCGGCCAACAGTTATGTATTCTTTTACTATATTTTAGTAGTTAATCTAGAGATAAAATGTGTAAACAATTGATTGAAGTGTAATATAAACTAGAATGTTTCCCATTTTTCAGAAAATGCTAAATATTTAGAACATTTAATAACATTCAGACTGCCTTGCCTTTTTGTTAATGTATTATACACTTCAATTTTAAATGTATATTAAACAACACATTATCATTGAAATTATTATTTTGTGTTGGCCCTATCTTTACTGTGTTTTTAATTTTCATTCAATTGGTTATTTCTATTTCTGTCAGAAATAATTTTTGTTTTGTCTGAAGAATTCCAATTACTATTTCTTTTAGTGTAAGTCTTCCAAAAATAAAATATATGAATTTTTTTGTTCTGCAAATTAGTTTGCCTTTTCTTTTGAATAATATTTTAATGAGTATACAGCTTTAGGTTAGCAATTATTACTATTATTCTTTCAGCTCTCTAAGTATATTATTTCACTACATTTTGGCTTCCACGTTATTTTAGTCTATTAGGGTTACCATAACAAAATACCACAGACTGAGCGGCTTAAACAAACAACATAACTTTATTTTTTAGAGTTCTGGAAGCTACACAATCCAAGATCAAATCCTTGGTTTCTCATAAGGTTTCTTTTCTTGGCTTTCAGACAGCCACCTTCTCACTTTCTTCACATGGCCTTTCCTGTATGCATGCACATCCTTGACGTCTCCTTCTGTGTGTTCAAAACTCTTCTTATAAGGACACTAGTCACACTGCACCAGGGGTATCAAATCTCTTTGATCACTTTTCTCTTTGAAGTTTTCTCTTTAATGACCCTCTTGATGCCATGGTCCTCTTGATATGGACACCATGTGGTACGGGCTCCTTTTCCATAGTGGCAGTCCCACTGCCTCTGTATGACCTCATGTTGGCCACTGATTGCAGCTTGCTTGTGAACTGAAGAGGTACTCCATGCTTTTCCAGAAACTGCAGACTATTCTGGACTGGATAATCCAGTAAACTTCTTTGTCATACAGTGGGCTACAACTGTGTGTTCTTTCTCAAAGAACATATTAAACTCGGTATTAGAAAACAAGCTCTACTTCCAAGTTTGTCCTCTTTGGGTATTCTCCTTTAACTGTTGTACTTAATAGTATTCTCTTACATCTAATATTATTTTTTCATAGTCTCATATTATATTACAGTTCCACAGTTTGGGTAACTGAGCAGTCTCTGTCTCCTGATTAGCCTCAAAATGATACAAAGTCATGTAGATAATTGGAACAGAACAGAAATGCCAGAAATAGACACATATATATTTGGATATTAAGTAGATAATAAAATGGCTTATCAAATAATGGTGTGAATATGTACTTTAAAACACATGTTGTTAGATGTTTAATATAGTAATTTGGAAAAGGAAATTTTGAATTGATATTCACACTGTGCATCACAGTAAATATTGAATGGGTCAAATATTTAAATGTAAAAATAAAATTATAAATGTATGAGAAGATGATATCAGTAAATACTTCAAAATGTCTGAAGGGAAAAAAGCTTTATAATTAACATGCCTTTTTTATAATACACTGTGATTTCACTCTCAGATTGAGTATTAGGCAACTTCAACTACTCTTTAAAATTACATTCAACATTTTAGTGGAGGTCCATGTCAGTATAACGAGGCAAGGAAAGGGAAAATATATGTAAGGATTAGAAAATGAGAAATTCCGCATTTTGGCAATGTAACAATGTCCATAGACAAATTTAAATTGTCTACATATAAATATAGTCAACGAACAAGTTTAGAAAGATTACTGGATAAAAGTTCAATACAACAAATAAATAATCTTTTACACAGCAGAAAGAATCATTTAGAAAATGTAATTTGAAAGATGATGCCACATATAACAGCATCTAAGCAGATATTTATGAATACTTTTAATAAAAAGTGTTATATAAATCAGCCAAAAAGACTCCTTGTATATTGGCCCTTAGGTTGTTTATTTTGTCACTGCTATGTGAGACCCACTAGTTGGTAGCAAATTCAAATTTTTCACATAAAGATATTTTAGAAATAACTCTAAAAAGCAGGATTTTTAGCCATTTAGAGCCTGGCTACTCTGAATACTTTACACAATTTTACCCCACATCTGCTGACTATTAATAAGAAAGAGAAGTGTAGTTATAAGGCTTCAAGTTGCTATAGCCCTTCACCATTGTCTGATCCAGAGGCTCCCCACTGTGCTTCTGCGTGACACAAACTAGACATTTATGTTTCTTCTTTGGTCCTTATTTTCCTTGAGAGCTTCCTTGCTCTCCTCCCCTTCTGGAAGATGACCCCATTCCCATAAGCCTACGTATATTCTTATGCTATGAAAGGCTTCTGCTCTTATGTAAACTTGTCCAAGCATTCTCTAATAAAATTTGTGTCCTATTGCCTTTTATGGTCATATAGTTTTCTTTGATGTGCTCAAATTCCTCACACTTCTACATATGTACATGATCTATAATGTCCTATACAGAGAGAAATTTTAAGACATCTCAATAAAAATAAAAAAGTCAAAACTTTCCCAATGGACCTGTAAGTAATTTGTTACAATCAAAACCACAAAAGTTTATTTATGTTGGAATTATATAATCTGGTTCTAAGTGTATGCTAATGGCAAAGGGCTGAGAATAACCAAGACACCCTTGAAGAAGAACAATTTGCTTTTCTCAATATGAAAATGTATTTTTCTGCTTTATTATTTAGTGTAATATTATTATGGTTAAGAGATAGACTGTTTGAAGATTGGAAAAGGACAGGAAGACCTAATCAAATATGAATCATTGTTGTAAGATAGTATTACAGAATATTGAAGAAAAATGGTATTTTCAATAAATGGTGCTGTGATAATTGGGTATGTATTTGGAAAAATAAAATTGAACACTGATCTCAAACTATTTAAAATTCAATTCAAGATGTGTTATTGATACAGTGACAATATATCCCATTTGTCTGAAATAGTCACAGTTATGGCTTTTATTCTGAAATATCACAACTAACCCCATTTAACTCTCAAAAGTTCCCCAGTTTTGAATATAAGTTATATTGTTACATGAGTTTTAAAACTAAATTTAAAAGGAAAAACTATAACTCATTTAGAATGTAAAACTGGAGAGAATCTTTATGGTTTCAGGATAATAAAATGTTTCTTACACAACATACAAAAGTATAGCACATAAATAAAAATACATATGAATTTGACTATATTAAAATTAAGAAAGTCTGTTCATGAAAACGAACCATAAAAGACAAGGGACACAGCTAGGATATTTTCAACATATATAACCAATAAAGACATATTCGGTAGACATAAATGTAATAGAGTCTGATTCCATTTTTTTTTTATGTTTTACTGCTGATAGACTTTAAGCTCCCTTCCCTTCTGTCCACATCTTGGCAAGCTGATAAGAAAGCCTGGGTTTTTCCACCTTTAGCAACAGTGGGGGTTTCAAACTATGGAAACATTCCTGCCTGTGTGTAGGAATCCTCACCACAGTCCCAACCTCTAATCACCGTAAAAACTCAGAGCCAGTCTCCTTCAACATCTCTCTCAAGCTATTCTGGGCCTGCTTGGGAAGCATGCCATGCTCTCCGTAGAAAGCCCCATTATGTGAATAATAAGACATTTTATATTCTCTTGGTGTGTGGGTTGCATCGTCAGTCTTTATATTTGAATCAAATTTTGGGTAAGCATCCATCCTTTATCTGTGGTGTGTTCACAACAACTGATGCAGTGAGAAGGATGTCTATATGATCACTACCATGAGTAGGAGTCTTATTATCTTGCTTTGATTCACTAGCAGTCTCTGTTACCTGCTGGTGGGCATGCTTTTTGAGTTGGTGCTTGCTGGCAAACATGCACTTGAGCTGTGCTTCAATGTGCTGCACTTGTCAAGTCATTCTTACCCTTTGTTATAGATTTAACAAACCCATGTCAAAAGTTTCAGTAACTGCCATTTAGAAATAGAAGTATGAACTTGAGGCCCTTCTTAAAGTAGCCCTGGTTTGTATGTTTCAGCCCAGATCTATCTATGCGCTTAGAATAAATTGTGTGTCTCAATTATGGAATAAGCAGTAACAGATTCTATATTTAGTTGAATAACTCTTATACTGTTACAATTGGTTGTGTATATCAACCAGGTATGGCGAATGTTCTACAGAATATTTGGGGGAAAGACTGATATAACATGCACTATATGGGTCTGTTTGTTGGTCACTCATGAGAGAAAGAGAAATGGAAGTTACTGTGTGGCATGCTGAGGTAACACTCAAAGGTAGATGGCTCACTAGGATGCTACAGAATCCCATTGCCGCTGCTGCCTATGACTGTCTTACCAAAAAAATGATCCAGATCCTCAAAGTTAAAGGGACAGACAGTCAGCACTCTTTGAACATAGTCAAGGAATTAATTCAAACATCATCATGGGGGAAAATCTTAACCCTGATAATACTGACTTGAGTATACCTGGAGAAAGAAACAAAAGTATAAGGAAGGTAGAGAGGACGCACCTACCTGAAGTACATCTAGTAAACAGCCTACAAACACAAAGAAAGAACAACAGAAAGAAAGAAGGAATCCTGGATATGGAAAATTAGACAAAAATTTTTAACAGAGGCCCACAGTTAGACCCAATTGGAAATTCAAAATTTACTAAAATAATTTATATCAAGAAGGCAAAAGGGCAGTGGATGACTTTTGCACC
Organism: Homo sapiens; assembly: GCF_000001405.40. Classification (NCBI taxonomy): domain Eukaryota; kingdom Metazoa; phylum Chordata; class Mammalia; order Primates; family Hominidae; genus Homo; species Homo sapiens. The sequence goes on from NC_000023.11 coordinate 81,721,142, forward strand.
TCTAAAACATACAGGTGACCCAATTGTAAATTCAAAATTTATTAAAGTAATTTATATAACAAAACCACAAAAGGGCACTTGATGACTTTTGCACCTCTAAGATATAGATTCTGAATTAACTTTAACATCTGATAAAATGCACAAATTAGCAAACTTTCATGGCCTTAACCAACATTGGGACTCAAATTAGAATAATACTCAAGGATCCTTCTAAATTTAATTATAATATTTCCAATAATCTTGGGGGAGTTACTGAACTTAAATAAAGAACAAAAAGATATGCCTCACTTTAACCATCAGAACTACTGTTTTGTCTAATTTTCCCATGGTCACGGCACCTATTGTGCTAAAACATCTCATAGTAGGCATGCACACTTTAATATATAAGTAATATTTAAAATTAAATTTAGTCTTTGGCATTTTCAAATTGGTGTAAAAAGTGGGATCCATAAACCTCCTACCCCAGTTAAAATGTATTTTATGGCTCAATGTAAACTAAAACGTGTCCTCCAAGGATTGAAAGCAATTATACAAGACCTATTTGTATAAGAGGTAATTATTACCACTGCTTCCTCAATTAACAACAAACTTTTGCATGTTTGTAAACTTGGAAATAACAAATGGCATCTAATTGTGGATTTCCAAAACATTAATACCAAGACTCTATGCATTATGGCACTCATACCAATAGCCAAAATTATGAAGATTATTGATTCTATCCAATAAGTAACTGGTAAGTATTTTGCTATTATATGTTTGGAAAGTGTTTTCTGTTTACTATTTCAACAACCTCTCAGCTGCAGTTTACCTTTATATGTTAAAAGACACTATGCCTTTATCCAGGTGTGGATAGTGTACATCATCAATCTTGACATCATGTACGATTTTAATTACATCCAGCTTTCTCTAGAATCTCAGATATGATATCACACTGCTGACATCCTCCTCTGAGTTGATTCATTTGACAAACTTATTCAGGACAAATACTCACAGCAGCTCACAAAAAAAGATGAGCCATGAGCACATACATAGTGCAAGTCCTTACCACAATGTTTAAATTCTGGAAATGTGTCTGGTAAAATGAGGGCAGTTCTATCCATGACAGTGTCAAGAAATAGTTATTGTCCCTCTCAGTACCCACAACATTAAAATAATCCCATCAAAATTTCAGTACTGAAAAAGAAGAATAAAGTTGGAGGACTGACACGACCTCACTTCCAGATTTACTATAGAATGACAGTAATCAAGTGAGGTTAGTATGGCAAAAGAATAGACAAATAGAACAGTGGAACAGACTAGAGATCCCATAATAATACCTACATAAATATAATCAATATGGGGTCTATAGGGTCAATTCATTTTTGACAAAAGAGCAAAGTCAGTTTAATGTAGAAAGCATAGTCTTTTCAACAAGTGACACTGGAATACCTGGACATCCACATGCAAAAAATTATCTAGACACTAACCTTACACCTTTCACAAACATTAACTGAAAATGGATCACAAACACTAACATAAAATTCAAAATGGTAAAACAGAAGTAACAAAGGAGAAAATCCAGGTGATTTGGATTTGGCAATGAGTTTTCAGGTACAAGAGCATACACATGGACCATGAAAAATAAATTAATAAGTTTGATTTTTTTAAATTAAAAGCTTTTGTTCTGTGAGAGACGTTTGTAAGATAATGGAAACACAAGTCACAGACTGGGAAAAAGTACTTGCAGACATGTAACTGATAACCAAGTTATATCAAAACAAACAATGCAAAAGTGTGCAAAAGACCTGAACACACACCTCATCCAAGAATATATACAGATGGTAAATAATCATATGAAAGGATGCTCAGTATCATATGTCATTAGAAAATTGCAAATTAAGCAGCAATCAGATACCATTACACACCAACAAGAGTGGCTAAAATCCAAAACACAGACACCACCAAATGCTGGCAATGATGTGAAGCATCAGGAACTTGAATTCATTGCTGGTAAGAATGAAAAATAGCACAGACACTTAGGAAGAAGACATTTTGTAAGTTTCTTTAAAAGTTAAATCTAGTCTTTCCATGCAATCCAGTAATCATGCTCCTTGGTATTTACTCAAATGAGTTGAAAATTTGTATCCACACAAAAACTTTCACAGCAATGTTTATAGCAGTTTTATTTATATTTGCTAAAGATTGGAATCAAGAAAGATGACCTTCAGTAGGGTATAGGTTAACAAAGGGTGGTACATCTAGACAATGAAATGATATTCGGTAATAAAAAGGAATGAGCTATCAAGCCACAAAGACCTTAAATGCACATTGTCAAGTGAAAGAAACAGTCTTAAAAGGCTATGAATTGCATAATTCCAACTATATGCAATTCTGAAAAGGCAAAAGCATAGAGACAGTAAAAATATCTGTGGTTTCCATAGACTGGGGATTCAGGACAAGATAGAGTGATGGACAGTTGGAGTACAGGTTATTTTTAGGTCAGTTAAACTATTCTGCATGATATTGTAATGGTGCATTGTCAAAATTCATAGAACTGTACAACAGAAAGAATAAAATTTAATATAAACTATAGAATTTAGTTAATAATAATGTATTAATATTGGTTCATCATTTGTAAGTAATGGACCCCACCAATGCAAAACTTTAATAATAGGGGTAAAAAAGGGGAACAAGATGGTGGAATAGAAGGCTACTCCAGTTATTCCTCCCACAAGGAAATCAAGTTAACAAATATCTACACAGATAAAAACAATTTCACAAGAACCAAAACTCAGGTAAGCACACACAGAACCTGATTGTAACTTCATATTGCTGAAAGAAGTACTGAAAAGAGAAAAAACAGCTCTGAATCATTGACACCACCCCTACCCCAACTTCCCAGCAGCAGCTGAATGGCACAGAGAGTATCTCTGTACCCTGGGGTAGGAAGAACACAGCAATTGTGAGGCATCAAAGTCAGTATTGTCTTGTTAGAACAGAAAGAAAAATCTGACCAAACTCAGCTGATGCTCACCTATGGAGGGAGCACTTAAACCAGCCCTAGCCAACAGGGAATTGCCAGTTCCTGTAGTTTGAACTTGAGTTTCTGAAAACCACACCACTGAGGGCTATAGCACTCTGTCTTCAAGTACACTTGATAGGCAACCTAGGTCATAAAGCTGCAACTCTTAGGTGAGTCCTAGTGCTAAACTAGGCCCAAAGATAGTGAACACTGGGGTGGGGACATGTGACATACTGAGACATCAGCTGGGGCAGCCAGGGGAGGGCTGACATTATCCTTCCCCTTACCCTAGGCTGTACAGCTCCTGGCTTCAAAAGAGACCCCTTCCTTCAGCTTGAGGGAAGGATATGGAAGAATGGGGAGGAGTTTGTCTTCTATCTTGAATACCAGCTAGGCCACAACAAGATAGGGCACTGGTCAGAGTCATAAAGCTACCATTCTAAGACCTAGCTCCCAGATATTTCCAGACACACTCTGGGTTAGAGGGGAACATGCTACATTGAAGAAAAGGACAGCCATGACAGCATTCATCACCTGCTAACTGAAGAACCCTAGGGCCATGAATAATTTGCAGTGATACAGAGGCACCCTGTCAAGGACCATGGAAGAGCCCCTGAGATGTGCTGACATCAGGTGAGACTCAGCACATTACCAGCTGTGGTGACTCTGAGGCAAAACTTCTTTTTCTTGTGAAAAGCAAAGAGAAAAGTAAAGGGGACTTTGTCTTGCACCTTTCATACAGGCTTGGTCACAGGAAGGTAGAGCACCAAGCAGGCACTTGAGATCCCCAATATCAGGACTTGACTCTTGTATGGCATTTCTGGATCTGCTATGGGACAGAGGAGAGCCCACTGCCCTGAAGGGTGAGTCCCAGGCCAGGCAGTATTCATGACAAACTGACTTAAAAGACCCTCGGCTTTAAAGGAACATCAGGAGTAAACTGACAGTACTTCTCATGGTCTGGAGTGGCAGTGACTACCTTTGGAAAGAGGAGAGAAAAGTGAGAAACACTGCATCTTTTTGTTTCAGGGTCAGCTCAGCTGCAAAATAATAGAAAAACAGTTAGACTTCTAAGGTTTTTGACTCTAGTCTCTAACTCCTGCATGGCAACTCTGGACTCACATGAGGCCTGGGGGACAGTACCTCCCTGAAGGGAAGGAAACAGGCCTTGCTGGCTTTCCCACCTGCTGATTTTAGAACCCCAGGGCCTTGGGTGAACATAGGCAATAGCCAGGAAGTTGCTACAGCAGGCCTTGGGTGAGGTCCAGTGCTGTGCTGGCTTCTGGTCTGACTCAGCTCAGTCATAGCAGTAGTGGCCACAGGGGTGTCTTATGTCGCTCCATCTCTGGCTTTAGGTGGCTCAGAACAGAGAGAGACTCTTTACTTTTGGGATAAAGTGAAAGAAGAGTACAGTCATCTCTGCCTGGTAATCCAGATAATTATCTGGACCTTGTTCAAGGTCATGAACATGGTATGTCTGAGTCTACAAGAACCACACCATTACTGAGCTTAGGCTGCTCTCTAAAGCAGATACAGCATAGATCACAAAACCCAAGTCCTTTAAAATATCTGGAAAGCCTTCCCAAGAAGGATACATACAAACAATCCCAGACAGTAAAGACTACAGTAAATATCTACAACGTTCAGAAACTGTAGAACATCTACTAGAATCATCACAATCCAGGAAAACAGTACCTCACCAAATGATCTAAATGAGCTAAAAGAGACCAATCCTGGTGAAACAGAGACATGTGACCTTTCATACAGATATTTCAAAATAGCTGTGCTCTGAAAACTCAAAGAAATTCAAGATAACACAGAGAAGGAATTTAGAATTCTATCTAATAAATTTAATAAGAGATTAAAATTTAAAAATTCAAACAGAAATTCTGTCGTGGGAAAACGTAATTGGCACATGAAACAATGCATCAGAGTTTGTTAATAACATAATGGATCAATCATAAGAAAGAATTAGTGAGCTTGAAAACAGGCTCTTTGGAAATATACATTCAGAAGAGACAAAAGAAAAAAGGAAGTAAAAACAACGAATCAAACCTATAGGATCTAGAAAATAGTCTCAAAAGGGCAAATCCAAAAGTTATTGAAGAAAAGAATAAAAAGGAATTAACAAAGCCTCTGAGAAATAGGGGATTATATAAAGAGATCAATTCTATGAATCACTGGTATCCCTGAAAGGGAGGAGGACAAAGCAAACAACTTGGAAAACGTATCTTAGGATATCATCCGTTAAAACTATCCCAACCTTGCTAGAGAAGACAATGGTCATATTCAGAAAATGCAGAGAACTCCTGCAAGATTCTACACAAGAAGATCATCCCCAATGCATATAATCAACAGATTCGCAAGGTCAAAATAACAGACAGAATGTTGAAGCCAATTAAAGAAAAAGGGAAGATCACCTTAAAAGGGAACCCCATTAAGCTAGCAGCAGATCTCTCAGCTGAAATGCTACAAACCAGAAGAGAAATGGGGTGTATATTCAACATTCTTAAAAAAAAAATTCAATCAAAACGTTTATATCAAGGCAAACTAAGCTTCATAAGTGAAGGAGAAATAGGATCTTTTTCAGATAAGCAAATTTTTTTCCCACCAGACCTGCCTTACAAGAGATCTTGAAAGGAGTACTAAATAGGGAAAGACCACTACCAGCTAATAGAAAAACACACTTAAATACACAGACAAGTGACATTATAAAGCAACCACAAAAACAAGCCAGCATAATTATCTAACAACACAATGACAAAATCAAATTTACACATATCAATACTAACCTTAAATGTAAATTGGCTAAATGCCTAACTTAAAAGGCAAGGAGTGGCAAACTGGATAAAAAAAAGCAAGACTCAATGTTATGCTGCCTTTAAGAGACTCATCTCACACGTAATAACACCAATAGGCTCAAAATAACAGAATGGAGAAAAGTTTACCAAGCTAATGAAAAACAGAATAAAAGCAAGGGTTAACATCCTAATTTCAGACAAAACAGACTTCAACCATGATCAAAAAAGACAAAGAAGGACATTACATAATGATAAAAAGTACAATTCAACATGTAGACTTATCTATGCTAAATCTCTATACACCCAACACAGGATCCCACAGATTTATAAAGAAAGACCTTAGAGATCTACAAAGAGACATAAACTCCCACACAATAATAGTGAGAGACTTCAATACTACACTGACAGTATCAGAGAGATCATTGAGGCAGAAAATTAATAAATATATTCAGGATCTGAGCTCAATATTGGACCAAATAGATCCATCAGAAACCACCATGAACACCTCTATGCACATAAACTGGAAAACCTATAGGAGATGGCTAAATTTCTGGAAATCCGCATCCTCCTTAGACTGAACCAATAAGAAACTGATGCCCTGAACAGACCAGTAATAAGCTCTGAAATTGATTCAGTAACAAATAGCTTACCAATCAAAAAATGCCCAAGATCTTATAGATTTACAGTCAAATTCTACCAGATGTATAAAGAAGACCTGGTATTATTCCTACTGAAATTATCCCAAAAAAATGAGGAGGAGGGATTCTTCTCCAATTCATTCTATGAGGCCAGCATTACCCTTAGACCAAAACCCAGCAGAGACATCACAACAGTGACAAAAATACCCCACGGGACAATATTCTTGCAAAAACGCTCAATGAAATGTTTGCAATCTAAATCTAGCAGCACATCAAGAAGCTAATCCAAAAAGCTAATTTATAATAAAGTAGGCTTCATCCCTGAGATGCAAGATTGATTCAACATACACAAACCAATAAACATGATTCATCACATAATCAGAACTTATGACAAGCTCCACATGATAATCTCAATAGATGCAAAAAAGACTTGATACAATTCAAAACCTTTTTATGTTAAAAACTGTCAATAAATTAGGTATTAAAAATGCATCAAAATAATAAGAGGCATCTATGACAAACCCACAACCAACAGCATAGTGAATGGGCAAAAGGTGAAAGCATTCCCCTTGAAACCTGCAAGAGACAATGATGCCCTCTCTCACCACTTTTGTTTAACATAGTATGGGAAGTTTTAGCCAGAGCAATCAGGCAAGAGAAAGAAATAAAGGCCACCCAAATATGAAGAGAGGAAGTCAAACTATCCCAGTTTGTAGATGACATGATTCTATTCTGGAAAACCCCAAAAGTTTCTTCAGGTGAAACAAACAAACAAACAAACAAAAGCTCCTCAGCATAGCTGCAAGATCCAATGACAAGATACAAATGTCACTAGCAGTCTGACACAGTTTGGCTGTGTCCCCACTCAGATCTCATCTTGAATTGTAGCTCCCATAATTCCCACGTCATGAGAGAGACCCAGTGGAAAGTAATTAAATCACAGGGGTGGGTCTTTCTTGTGCTGTTCTTGTGTTAGTGAAGAAGCCTCACGAGATCTGATGGTTTTACAAAGCAGTGTTTCCCTATGCAAGCTCTCTTGCCTGATGCCATGTAAGATGGGCTTTTGCTTCTCCTTTGTCTCCCTCCATGATTGTGAGGCCTCCCTGGCCATGTGGAACTATGAGTCCATTAAACCATTATTTTTTAAAATAAATTACCAAGTCTCAAATGTATCTTTATTAGCAGTGTGATAACCAACTAATACATTAAATTGGTACTGGGAGTGGGGTGTTGCTATAAAGATATCCAAAAATGTGGAAGCAACTTTGAAACTGGGTAACAGGCAAAAGATGGAACAGTTTGAAAAGCGTAGAAGAGGACAGGAAGATGTGGGAAAGTTTGGAACTTCCAAGAAACTTGCTGAATGGCTTTGACCAAAATGCCGTTAGTGATAATGACAATAAAGTCCAGGCTGAAGTGGTCTCAGATGGAGATGAGAAACTTGTTGGAAACTGAAGCAAAAGTGACTCTTGCTATGTTTTAGCAAACCGACTGGCAGCATTTTGCCCTTGCCTTAGAGATTTGTGAAACTTTGAACTTGAGGGAGATGATTTAGGGCAACTGGTGGAGCAAATTTCTAAGCAGCAAAGCATTCAAAATGTGACTTGGGTGCTATTAAAAGCATTCAGTTTAAAGTATTCACAAAGATATGGCTTGGAATTGGAACTTACATTTAAAAGGAAGCAGAGCATAAAAGTTCAGAAAATTTGCAGCCTGATGATGTGATAGAAAAGAAAAATTCATTTTCTGAGGAGAAATTTAAGCTGGCTGCAGAAAGTTGCATAAGTAACGAAGTGCCAAACATTAATCACCATGACAATGGAGAAAATGTGTCCAGGTTATGTCACAGCTCTTCACAACAAACCCTCGCACCACAGGACTGGAGGCCTAGGAGGAACAAATGGTTTCATGAGTCAGGCCCAGGGCCTTGCTGCTTTGTCAAATCTCGGGACTTTGTGACCTGCTTCTTAGCTGTGGCTAAAAGGGTCCAATGTAGAGCTCATGCTGTTGCTTCAGATGGTTCAAGCCCCAAGCCTTGTTGGCTTCCATGTGGTGTCTGCCTTGTGGGTGCACAAAAGTAAAGAATTGAGGTTCGGAAACTGCTGCCTAGATTTCAGGATATGCATGCAAATGCCTGAATGTCCATGCCAAAATCTGCTGCAGGGGTGAAGCCCTCATAGAGAACCTCTGTTACAGCAGTGCAGAAGGGAAGTGTGGGATTGGAGCCCATACAGAGAGATCCCACTGTGGCACTGCCTAGTGGAGCTGTGAGAAGATGGCCACTATCCTCCAGACCCCAGAATGGTAGATCCACTGATAGCTTGTACTGTGCCCTTGGAAAAACCTCAGACACTCAATACCAGCCCATGAAAGCAGCTGGGATTGAGGCTGTACTCTGCAAAGCCACAGGGGCAGAGCTGCCCAAGGCCATGAGAGCCCACTTCTTGCATCAGTTTGACCTGGATGTGAGACATGGAGTCAAAGGAGATCATTTTAGAGCTTTAAGATTTGGCTGCCCTGCTGTACTTCAGACTTGCATTAGGCCTGTAGTCCCTTCATTTTGGCCAATTTCTCCCATCTGAAATGGGTACATTTACCTAATGCCTGTTACCCCCATTGTATTTAGGAAGTAACTAACTTGCTTTTGATTTTACAGGCTCATAACACTTGCCTTGTCTTAGATTAGACTTTGGACTGTGGATTTTGAGTTAATGATGAAATGAGTTAAAACATTGGGGGACTGTTGGGAAGACATGATTAGTTTTGAAATATGAAAATATGAGATGTGGGAGGTGCCAGGGATGGAATACTGTGGTTTGACTGTGTCCCCATCCAAATCTCAATTTGAATCCTAGCTCCCATAATTCCTACATGTCATGTGGGGAACTGTTGGGAAGTAATTAAGTCATGGAGGCAGATCTTTTCTGTGCTGTTATTGGGATTGTGAATACGTCTCATAAGGTCTGATTGCTATATAAAGGGGAATTTCCCTACACAAGCTCTCTTGCCTCCCACCATGTAAGAATTGCCTTTGCTTCTCCTTTACTTTCTGCCATGATTTTGAGGCCTCCCCTGCCATGTGGAACTTTGAGTTCATTAAACTTCCTTCCTTTATAAATTACCCAATTTCACCTATGTCTTTATTAGCAGCCTGAGGACAGACTAATACACAGTCCTATATGCCATCAACAGCCAAGCTGACAGCCAAATCAGGAAGGAAATCCTTTCACAATTTCCACATGCACAAAAAATAAAATATGTAGGAATACATCTAACCAGGGAAGTGAAAGATCTCTACAATGAGACTTATAAAACACTTCTCAAAGCAATCAGAGAAGACACAAACAAAGGGAAATACATCCCATGTCCATGGATATGAAGAATCAATATAATTAAAATGACCACACTGTCCAAAGCAATTTGCAAACTAAATGCTATTCTTATCAAACTACCAACAAGATTCTTAACAGAGCTAGAAAAAAAATATTTTAAAGTTTCACATGAAACCAAAAAGGAGCTTCAATAATCAAGGAAATCCTAAGCAAAAAGAAAAAGCTGGAGGCATCACATTACCTGACTTCAAACTATAGTACGGGGCTACAGTAACCAAAACAGCATAGTACTGGTACAAAAATCAACACATCGATCAAAGGAACAGAATAGAGAGAAGAGAAATAAGGCCACCCACCTATGACCACCTGATCTTTTAAAAAGGTGATAAAAATGAGAAAATGGTCTATGTTCAATAAATAGTGCTGAGAAAACTGGATGGTCATATGCATAAGATTGAAACTGGACCCCTTCCTTACACCATATACAAAAATTAACTCAAGATAGATTAAAGACTTAAATGTAAAACTCAAAGCTATAAAAACCCTGGAAGACAACCTAGGCAACACCATCTTCTACACAGAAATAGGCAAAGATTTTATGACAAAAACAGCAAAAGCAATTGAAACAAAAGCAAAAATTTAAAAATGGGTTCTAATTAAAGTAAGAGCTTCTGCACAAGAAAATAAACTATCAACAGAGTAAATAAACAAGCTACAGATGGGAGAGTATATTTGCAAACTATGCATCTGACAGAAGTCTAATATCCAGCATCTATAAGGAACTTAAACAAATTTACAAGAGCAAAACAAGCAACTCCATTTAAAAGTGATCAAATGACACTTTTCAAAAGAATACATACATAGAGCTAAAAAGCATATAAAAAAGCTCAATATCACTGATTATCAGATAAATACAAGTCAAAACCACAATGAGATACCATCTCACACCAGTCACAATGGCTATTACTACGAAGTCGAAAAAATAACAGATGCTGCTAAGGTTGTGGAGGAAAAGGATTGCTTATCCCCTTTTGGTGGGAGTGTAAAGTAGTTCAACCCTTGCAGAAAGAAATATGGCAATTCCTGAAAGAGCTAAAAGAATAATTTACCATTTGACCCAGCAATTCCATTACTGGCTATATACCCAGAGGAATATAAATCATTCTACTACAAAGACACATGTATGCAAATATTCATTGCATCACGATTCACAATAACAAAGACATGAAATCAACCTAAATGCCCATCAATGACAGATTGGATAAAGAAAATGTGGTACATATACACCATAAAATACAATGCAACCATTTAAAAAAACAAGAACGTGTCATTTGTAGGAACATGGATAGAGCTATAGGCTATTATTCTTAGCAAACTAATGCAGCAACAGAAAACCAAATATTGCATTTTTTCACTTAGGGAGCTAAATAGTGAGAACTCATGAACGAAACAAAGGTAACAACAGACACTGGAGTTTACTTGAGAGTGGAGGGTGGGAGGAGGGAGAAAAGCAGAAAGTATAACTATAGGGTACTGGACTTAACACCAGGGTGATAAAATGCTCTTTGCCGCAAACCCCGATGACCTAAGATTACCTACATAACAAAACTTCACATGTATACCCTTAAAACTAAAATAGAAGTTTTTTTAGGGTTATTGACCTTAAAAGAGGAGATGGAGGAAAAAAACAGGGATAGAAAATTTGTTCAAACAGATAATAACAAAGAACTTCCTAAACCTAGAGAAAGATAATATCAACATTCAAGTACAAGAAGATTATACAACACCAATCAGACTTAACCCAAAAACGACTACCTCAAGGCCTTTAATAACCAAGCTTCCAAAGTCAAGAATAAAGAAAAGATTCTAAAAGCAGCAAGAAAAAAAAAGAAAGAAACAAATAACATACAAAGGAGCTCCAACACATTTGGCAGAAGAATTTTCAGTGGACACCTTGCAGGTCAGGAGTGAACAGCATGAAATTTTTAAAGTGCTAAAGGAAAAATGCTTTTACCCTAGAATAGTATATCTGGCAAAATATATCCTTTGAACCTGAAGAAGAAATGGAGACTTTCCCAGAAAAAAAAAAACTGAGGGATTTTATTAACATTAGACCTATCTTAGAAAAAATGCTAAAGGGATTACTTCAATGAGAAAGAAAATGACATTAATGAGCAACAAATGATCATCTGAAGGTACAAAACTCACTGGAAACAGTTAACTGAAAAACAGAGAATATTATAACACTGTAACTGTGAAGTGTAAACTACTCTTATCCTAAGCATAAGCAATGAACCAATCAAAAACAACAAATACAACAACTTAGCAAGACATAGCACAATAATATATGAATACAAACAAAAAAATGTTAAACAGCAGAGGAGCAAAAATAAGGTGTAGGGTGTTTATTAATTTTGTTTTTGATTGTGCAAGTAGTATTAAGTTGTTTTTAGATCAGTAAAATCACATATTTTAACTTTGTCACTACAAAAACATAAATTGGTGAGGTAATGGATATGTTAATTAGGTGGATTAACTTTTCTACAATGTATAAACGGAACAAAACATTACATGGGGCCAGGCACGGTGGCTCATGCCTGTAATCCCAGCACTTTGGCAGGCTGAGGTGGGAGGATCACTTGAGCTCGGGAGTTCAAGCCCAGCCTGGGCAACATAGGAAGACAACCCTGTGATGATTAATATTAGGTGGCAACTTGATCGGATTGAAGGATACCCAGATAGCTATTAAAGTATTATTTCCGGGTGTGTCTGGGAGGGTGTTGCCAGAGGAGACTGAAATTTGAGTCACTAGACTGGGATAGGAAGACCCACCCTCAATGTGGATGGGCATCATCCAATCAGATGCCAGCACAGCTAGAACAAAGCAGGCAGAAGAAGTTGGGATAACCTTGCTTTCTGAATCTTTTGGCTGCCTTATTTCTCTCATGCTGAATGCTTCCTTCAGGTCCTCCTGTCCTTGGACATCAGACTCCAGGTACTTTGGCCTTGGACTCTGGAACTTGCACCAGTGGCTTGCCAGGGACTCTCCAGCCTTTGGCTACAGACTGAAGACTGCACTGTCAGCTTCCCAGGTTTGAGGCTTTCATATTTGGACTGAGCCACTACCAACTCCTCTCTTTCCCACCTTGCAGATGGCCTATCGTGGGACTTCACCTTGTAATCATGTGAGCCAATTCCCCCTAATAAACTCCCATATATAAATATATCCTACTAGTTCCATACCTCTGAAGAACCCCGACTAATACAACCCCTGTCTACAAAAAATTAAAACATTAGATTAGAATAGTGGCACATGGGCCGGGCGCGGTGGCTCACGCCTGTAATCCCAGCACTTTGGGAGGCCGAGGCGGGCGGATCACGAGGTCAAGAGATCGAGACCATCCCGGCTAAAACGGTGAAACCCCGTCTCTACTAAAAATACAAAAAAATTAGCCGGGCGTAGTGGCGGGCGCCTGTAGTCCCAGCTACTTGGGAGGCTGAGGCAGGAGAATGGCGTGAACCCGGGAGGCGGAGCTTGCAGTGAGCCGAGATCCCGCCACTGCACTCCAGCCTGGGCGACAGAGCGAGACTCCGTCTCAAAAAAAAAAAAAAAAAAAAAAAAATAGTGGCACATGCCTGTGGTCCCAGCTACTTGGAAGGTTGAGGTAGGAAGATCACTTAAGCCCAGGTGGTCAAGGCTGCAGTGAGCCATGATTGCACCACTGTACTCCAGCCTGCCTGGTGACAGAGTAAGAACCTGTCTCAAAAAAAATCACATAGTACCACATAAATATACACAATTATGATGTTGCAATTAAAATAAATTAATTTTTATACTACAATGCTGTATTAACCAACAGAACATGGTACTGGTATTGAAATAGACACATAGATCAATGAAACAGAATAAATAATCTGGAAATGAAGCCATATACCTCCAGTTGACTGGTTTTTGAAAAAATTAACAAAAATATACACTAGGGAAAGGGCATCATATTTAATAAATGGTCCTGAGAAAATTAGATTCCATATGAAAAAGAATAAAACTAGAACCCATCTCACACTATATGCAAAAATTAACTCAAGGTGAATTAAAGACTTAAAAGTAAGACATGAAACTATAAAAATACTAGAATAAAATCTAAGAGAAACTCTTCCAAACATTGGCCTAGGCAAATAACTCATGACTAACACATCAAAAGAAAATGTGACAACAAAAATAGACAAACAAAATTTACCTAAACTAAAAAGCTTTTTCACAGCAAAAGAAATGATCAACAGAGTGAACAGACATGAAAAGTTGCTCAACATCATTGGTCATCAAGAAATGCAAATCAAAACTACAATGTGATATTATCTCACCCCGGTTAACATGGTTCACATCCAAAAGACAGGCAATAACAAATGCTGGCAAGGATATGGTGTAAAGGAAACCCTTGTACACTGTTGGGAATTTAAATTAGTATAACCACTATGGAGAACAGTTTGGAGGTTCCTCAAAAAACTAAAAATTGATCTACCATATGATCCAGCATTTCCACTTCTGGGTATATAGCCAAAATAAGAAAATCAGTATATCGAAGAGATATCTGCATTACTATGTTTGCTGCAGCACTGTTTACAATAGCTATAAAAAGGAATGAGATACAGTCATTTGCAATGACATGATGGAACTGGAAATTATTATGTTAAGTGAAATAAGCCAGACATAGAAAAATCAACATTACATGTTCTCACTTTTTCATGGAATCTAAAATTCATGGGATCTAAAATTCAGAACAATTTAACTCATGAATATAGAAAGTAGAAGAATGGTTCCAAGAAGAGTCTTGGAAGGGTAGTGGGGTTCTGTGGGAGGGGAGATGGGGATGGTTCATAGGTACAAAAATAATTTGATATCACAACAGGGTAACTATAGTCAATAACTTAATTGTGCATTTTAAAATGACTTAAAGAGTAGAATTGGACTGTTTGCACCTCAACGGATAAATCTTTGAGGAACTGGACACCCCATTCTTTATTATGGGCTTAGTTTACATTGCCTGCCTGTATCAGAATATCTCATGTACCCCATAAATACATACACCTACTAGGTACACAGAAAAATTAAAAAGTAAAAAAAAAAAAAGTTAAAAAGAACTGAGTCTTAGAAGCTTCTGGATAGCTAAATATGTGAAGGTTCCTGGAGGTTGATACAACCAAAGATAACATGGAAGCTCAGTGGTCCTTCTCCCATACTTTGCCCTATGTATCTCTTACATTTGGCTGTTCATCTGCATCCTTTGTAATACTTTTATAGTAAATGGGAAAATTTAAATAAAATGTTCCCCTGATTCTGTGAACCACTGTAGAAAATTAATTAAACCCAAGAAGAAATTCATGAATCAGTCAGAAGCACAAGATCAATCAAAAGCACCACCTCTAGGTAGATAGTGTCAGAACTGAGTTAAATTAGAGGACACCCAACTGGTGTCTGCTGGAGAATTCATCTACAAAATTGCTTGGTGTTATGAGGAAACTCCCCACAAATTTGAGGTCACAGAAGTGTTCTGTGAAAGTATAGTAAAAGAAACTGAATTTGGTGTTCTCATATTCGTTACATATGTGTTTTTTTCACATTGTATATGATTAATTTTTAAATTTTTGTATAAAGTATCTAGAAGTGTATTTTTAATAATTTTTTATTTTTACACCTTAACAGCTCTTTTACTCTGAGTTTATCATCCTTCTAAAGATTTTGTAACTCTTTCTAGGTTTATTGAGGTATGACTGGCAAATAAAAATGTATATATTTATAAGGTACTACATGATGTTTTTATGCAAGTATTCTCTGTGTAATGATTTCCCAAATCAATCTAATTAACATGTACATCATCTGGCATATTTACCTGTTCGTGTATATATGTGTGTAGGGGAGTAGGATAAGGACAGTTAGTATCTATTCCTTTTAGTTAATTTTAAGTCTATATTACATTATTATTAACTATAGTTACTATGATGTTCATCAGATCTCTAGAAATTATCTTATAAATGAAAGTTTGTATCCTTTAACCGACATCTCCTAATTTTCCCCACCCAAGATCCCCTAGAAAACACCATTCCACTCTCTATTTATGGAAGGTTGGTTATTTTAAATTTCACATATAAATGAGATTATGCAATGTTTTTCTTTCTGGCTCTCATTTATTTCACTTACATATAATGAGTGAAATAATATGCTTGGCTGGGCACAGTGGCTCACGCCTGTATTCCCAGCACTTTGGGAGGCCAAGGTGGGTGGATCACTTGAGGTCAGGAGTTCATGACCAACCTGACCAACTTGGTGAAACCCCGTCTCTACTAAAAAGACAAAAATTAGTTGGGCGTGGTGGCGCGTGCCTGTAATCCCAGCTACTCAGGATGCTGAGGCAGGACAACCACTTGAACCTGGGAGGCAGAGGTTGCAGTGAGCCGAGATTGTGCCATTGCTCTCTAGCCTGGGCACAGAGTGAGACTCCACTTCCAAAAAAAAAAAAAAAAAAAAAGGAAACTATATCCTCCAAGTATAATATCCTCCAAATTCTAATCCATTGTTTATGTATACACTGCAATTATTTTATACATTCATCCATCCATAGATGCTTAAGTGCTTTTCATATCTTGGTTATTGTTAATAATGCTTCAATGAACATGAAAGTGCCTATATCTCTTTGACATATTAATTTTATGTTCTTCAGATAAATACCCAGAACTGGGATTGCTGGATCACGTGGGAGTTATATTTTTAATTGTTTAAGGAAGCCTCATACTGTTTATCATAATGCCTGATCCAGTTTGCATTCCTACCAACAGTGTACAAGGGTTTTCTTCAAATTCTCACTAACACTTGTTATCTCTTCTCATTTTTATAG
This sequence comes from Homo sapiens, assembly GCF_000001405.40. Classification (NCBI taxonomy): domain Eukaryota; kingdom Metazoa; phylum Chordata; class Mammalia; order Primates; family Hominidae; genus Homo; species Homo sapiens. Next base: position 81,737,804 of record NC_000023.11, read on the forward strand.
TAGCCAATCTAACACATGTGAGATGGTTTCTCATTGTGGTTTTGATTTGCATTTACGTGATGGTTTGATTTGCAGTTCTCTGACCTGTTGGCCATTTGCATGTTTTCTCTGAAAAATTGTCTGTTGGGGAAAGGGTACGACTCTGTCGCCCAGGCTTGATGGCAGTGGTGCAACCTTGGCTCACTGCAACCTCTGCCTCCTGCGTTCAAGCCATTCTCACGCCTTGGCCTCCTTGGCAGCTGGGATTACAAGCGTGTGCCACCACGCCTGGCTAATTTTTTGTATTTTTAGTAAAGATGGGGTTTTGCCATGTTGGCCTGGCTCATCTCGAACTCCTGGCCTGAAGTGATCTGCCCACCAGAGTGCTGGGATTACAGACATGAGCCACCATGCCTGGCCTCTGCTCATATTTAATTGGAATTTTATTTTGCTGTTGACTATTATGAGTTTCTAATATATTTTGGATATTAGCCTGTTATTAAATATATGGCTTGTAAATATTTTCACCCATTATGTAGGTTGCCTTTTCCTTCGCTGTGCAGAAGGTTTTTAGTTTGATGTAGTCCCATTTGCTTACTTTTGCTTTTCTTATCTGTGAGTTTGGCGTCACATCGAAATAAGTCATTTCTGGAATCTCTACACTGTCTTTCTCAATGGTTGACTAATTTACAGCCCCACCAACAGTTTATAGGTGTTCCTTTTTCTCCACAACCTCACCAACATCTGTTATTTTCCTAATTTTTAATAATAGTCATTCTGAGTGGTGTGAGATTTTATCTCATTGTAGTTTTGATTTGCATTTCTCTAATAATCAGTGATGTTTAGATTTTTTTGTCATATGATTGTTGATTGTATCAAAGACATAAAGACTGAAATACCATTTGACCCAGCAATCCTATTACTGGGTATATACGCAAAGGAATATAAATCATTCTATTATAAAGACAAATGCATGCACATCTTCATTGCAGCACTAGTCACAATAGAAAAAAACATGGAATCAACCTAAATACCCATCAATGATAGACTTGATAAAGAAAATGTGGTACATACACACCGTTGAATACTATGCAGCCATAAAAAATGAATGAGGGTAAGTCCCTTGCAGGGAGATGAATGGAGCTAGAGACCATTATTCTTAGCAAATGAATGCAGGAACAGAAAATGAAATACCTCGCATTCTCACTTATAAGTGGGAGCTAAATAATGAGAACAGATTGATACACAGAGGAGAACAACACACACTGGGGCCTTTCAGAGTGTGTAGGGTGGGAGGAGGGAGAGGATCAGGAAAAATGACTAATGGTTACTTGGCTTAAAACCCGGTTGATGAAATAATCTGCACAACAAACCTCCATGACATAAGTTTACCTATGTAACAAACCTGTCCTTGTACCCCCAAACATAAAATAAAAGTTAAAAAAAGAAATCATGTTGAAAGCCAATAATGGATCAGGGACTGTATTTATTATCTTCTCTCCCAGAAGTTTTACATTTTCAGATATTACGTTTATGTCTAATCCATTTTGAGTTGATTTTTGTGTATTATGTAAGAAAAGGGTCCAGTTTCGCTGTGAATATTGTTTTCCCCATGTTCATGCATGTGGACACTGTTTTCCCCAATACCAATGTATTGAGGAGATAATCATTTCCTCACAGTGTGTTCTTTGTCCCCTTCCTGGAAGATCAGATGACCTTTATCTGTATGGGTTTATTTCTGAAGTCCTGATTCTGTTCCATTGGTACATAAGTCTATTTATAGGCCAGTACCATACTTTTTATGACTATAGCTATGTAATAGAGTTTTTAATCTGGAAGCGTGAAGCTTTCTCCTTTGTTCTTTCTCAAGAATAGCCCCTGTGCAAAGCAATTTTGAGATTTGCAGCTTTGTTCTTATTAACAACGCTGAAATCTTTCTTAATACTGCTTTAGCTATTCAGAGATTTTTGTGGCTTCATACTTTTTTTCAGATTTCTTTTTCTATATCATAAGAATTTTGATAGGAATTGCATGAAATCTACTGATCACTTTGGACAGTATAGGCATATTAACTATCAATTCTTCCAATTCATGAACACTGTGTTTTTCCTTTTATTTACTTCTGTTTTCAGTTTATTTTACTAATGTTTTGTAGTTTTCAAAGTACAGATATTCCACCTTTTTATTACAACTATATCTAAGTTTTTTTTTAAATTAGATTCAGGGAATACATGGGCAAGTTTATTGCATAAATAGACTGTGTAAAGCTGGTCTTTAAGCTTCTATTGAATCCATCATCCAGATAGTAAACATAGTACCCAACAGGCAGTTTTTCAATCTTTGCCTTTCCCCCTCCTTCCTTCCTTTCCCCCAGTGTTTATTTTTTCCATTTTTATAAATTTACATCCAGTTTTAGCTCACACTTATAAGTAAGAAAATGTAGTATTTGATTTTCTGTTTCTGCATCAATACACATAGGAAAAAGGCATCCAGTTGCATTCATATTGCTGCAAAGAACATGAGTTTATTCATTTTGATGGTTGCATCATATTCTGTGGTGTATATGTTCAAAAATTTTTCTTTATCCAATCCACCATTGATGGGCATCTGGGTTGATTCTGTGGCTTTGCTATTGTAAGTAGTGCTGTGATAGACATACAAGTACAGATGACTTTTTAATGGAATTTTTCTAGTGTGTGTAGATACCCAGTAGTGGACATGCTGAGTTAAATGGCAATTCTATTTTTAGTTATTTGAGAAATATCCAAATTGAGACTATCATTTCCTAACGGTATATTCTTTGCCCCCTTCTGGAAGACTAAATGATCTTTATCGGCATGAGTTTATTTCGGAAGACCTGACTCTATTCCATTAATATATGATGTCTATTTATAGGCCAGTACCATACATTTTTTTTTTATTTTGCACAGGGGCTGAAGTCATTTACATTTCCATAAACAGTGTATAAGCATTCCCCTTTCTCTGCATCCTCACCAACATCTGTTATTTTTGACTGTTTAGTAATAGCCCTTCTGACTGTTATGAGATGACATCTGATTCTGATTTTGATTTACATTTCTCTGATGAAGAGTGGTGTGGAGAACGTTTTCATATATTTCTTGACTGCCTGTATGTCTTCCTTTGAGAAGTGTCTGCTCATGTATTTTGTCCACTTTTCATAAGGATGTTTGCTGCTTGTTAATTTACTTAAGTTTCTTATAGAACCTGGATATTAGTCTTTTTTCAGATGCATATTCTGTGATAATTTTCTCCCATTCTGTAGGTTCTCTGTTTACTCTGTTGATATTTTCTTTCATGGTGTAGAAGGTCTTTAGTTTAGTTAAGTCAATTTTTGTTGCATTTGTTTTTGAGATCTTTGACATAAATTTTTTGCTGAGGCCAATGTCCAGAAGAGGTTTTTCCTACGCATTCTTTTAGTATTTTTTATACTAGGAGGTCTTATATTTAAGTATTTAAATCATCTTGAATTAATTTTTGTTTATCGTGAGAAGTAGGCATTGGGTTTCATTCTTATGTATCTGCGTACCCAGTTTTCCAAGCACCATTTATTGACTACGGTGTCCTTTACTCACCATTAACTTTTGTCAACTTTATCAAAGATCAATTGATTGTGGATGTGTGGCCTTATTTCTGGGTTCCCTATTTTGTTTCACTGATCTACATGTCTATTTTTGTACCAGTACCATGCTTTTTTGGTTACCATAGGGTTGTAGTTTAGTTTGAATTTAGGCAATGTGATGCCTCTGGCTTCATTCTTTTTGCTTAGAATTACTATGGCTATTTGCGCCCTTTGGGTGTGCAATTTGACTTTTTAAATATTTTCAACTGTTATTTTAGATTCAGAAAGTACATATGCGTATTTGTTACACAAGTATATTTGTTACACAGCAGCATGCATGCTGCTGATGTTTGGCGTAAATTGATTCTGTCACCCAGGTAGTGCACATGGATAGTTTTTCAGCTCTTATCCCTCCCCCTCCCTACTTCAGGGTCCCCAGTGTTTATTGTCCATATCTTTGTGACTGTGTGTATTGAATGTTAGCTTCCACTTATCAGTGAAAATACATAGTATTTCGTTTTCTGTTCCTTTGTTAATTCTCCTGTGATGATGGCCTCCAGCTACATCTATGCTGTTACAAAAGACATAATTTTGTTCTTTTTTATGTCTACATAGTATTCCATGGTGTACATATAATACTACATTTTCTTCCTTCAATCCTATGAATGAAAATCCACCAATGATTGGTACCTATGCTGACTACTTGCCTTTGCTGTTGTGAATGGTTGTCTGATAAACATATGAGTACCTGTGTCTTTTAGGTGGAACAATTTATTTTCCTTTGGGGAAATACTCAGTAATGGGATTGCTAGGTCAAATAGCAGTTCTGTTCTCTTTTAAGTTTTTTTAATTTGCATTCTCATCAACAATGTATAAACAATCCCTTTTCTATGCAGCCTTGAGCCTTGCCATCAATCTTTTTTTGTTGTTGTTGTTGTTTTTACTTTTTCATCATAGCCATTCTAATACGTGTGAGGTGGTATTTCATTATGGTTTTCATTCTCATTTCTCTAATGATTAGGGATCTGGAGCATGTTTTCTGATGTTTATTGGCCACTTGTATGTTTTCTTTTGATAAGTGTTTATTTATTTCCTTTTACCATTTGTTAATGGAATTATTTGGTTGTTACTTTAAGAATTAAGTTTCTTATAGATTCTGGACATTAATGTTTTGTTAGATGCATAGCTTATGAATACATTCTCCTATTCTGTAGGATTTTTTTTCTCTGTTGATAGTTTCTTTTGCTGTGCAGAAGAGAAGCTCTTTAGTTTAACTAGGTCTCACTTGTCAATTTTTGTTTTTCTTGCAATTGCTTTTGTGGAATTAGTCATACATTCTTTCCTAAGGCTGATGACCAAAATAGCATTTTCTAGGTTTTTTTCTAAGATTTTTATAGTAAGAGGTCTCATATTTAAGTCTTTGATTCAACTTGAGTTAATTTTTTATATGGTAAATGGTAAGAGTCTAGTTTTATTCATCTACATATGGCTAGCCAGTTATCCCACAAGCATTTATGGAATATAGAGTCCTTCCCCTATAGCTAATTTTTGTAAACTTTGTCACAGGTTGAACGGCAGTAGGTATGCAGTTCAACTTCTGGGTTCTATTTTCTTTTCTGTTTCTTTATGAGTCTGTTTTTGTAATAGGACCATGCTGTTTTGGCTACTGTAGCCATATAATATAGGTTGAAGTTGGGTAATATGATTTCTCCACCTTGGTTCTTTCCTTAGACATGTTTCCGCTAGTCAGGCTTTTTTTGGCACCATATGCATTTTATTTTTTTTTTTCTAATTCTGTGGAAAATGATATTCTTAGATGGCCGAATAGGAACAGCTCCAGTCTACAGCTCCCAGCATGAGCGATGCAGAAGATGGGTGATTTCTACATTTCCAACTGAGGTACTGGGTTCATCTCACTGGGGAGTGTCAGTCAGAGGGTGCAGTACAGTGGGTGCAGCTCACCCTGCGTGAGCCAAAGCAGGGTGAGGCATCCCCTCACCCGGGAAGAGCAAGGGGTCGGGGAATTCCCTTTCATAGTTAAAGAAAGGGGTGACAAATGGCACCTGGAAAATCGGGTCACCCCCACCCTAATACTGCGCTTTTCCAATGGGCTTAAAAAACGGCACCCCAGCAGATTATATCCCACACCTGGCTTGGAGGGTCCTATGCCCACGGAGCCTCTCTCATTGCTAGCACAGCAGTCTGAGATCAAACTGCAAGGCGGCAGCGAGGCTGGGGGAGGGGCACCTGCCATTGCTCAGGCTTGAGTAGGTAAACAAAGCAGCCAGGAAGCTCGAACTGGGTGGAGCCCACCACAGCTCAAGGAGGCCTGCCTCTGTAGGATCCACCTCTAGGGGCAGGGCACAAACAAAAGACAGCAATAACCTCTGCAGACTTAAATGTCCCTGTCTGACAGCTTTGAAGACAGTAGTGGTTCTCCCAGCATGCAGCTTGAGATCTGAAAATGGACAGACTGCCTCCTCAAGTGGGTCCCTGACCCCCGAGTAGCCTAACTGGGAGGCACCGCCCAGTAGGGGCAGACTGACAACTCACACGGCCCGGTACCCCTCTGAGACAAAACTTCCAGAGGAACAATCAGGCAGCAGCATTTGCGGTTCACAAATATCCGCTGTTCTGCAGCCACCGCTGCTGATACCCAAGCAAACAGGGTCTGGAGTGGACCTCCAGAAAACTCCAACAGACCTGCAGCTGAGGGCCCTGACTGTTAGAAGGAAAACTAACAAACAGAAAGGACATCCACACCAAAAACTCATCTGTACGTCACCATCATCAAAGACCAAAGGTAGATAAAACCACAAAGATGGGGAAAAACCATAGCAGAAAAACTGGAAACTCTAAAATCAGAGCGCCTCTTCTCCTCCAAAGGAATGCAGCTACTCACCAGCAATGGAACAAAGCTGGACGGAGTTGAGAGAGGAAGGCTTCAGAAGATCAAACTACTCTGAGCTAAGGGAGGAAGTTTGAACCAAAGGCAAAGGAGTTAAAAACTTTGAAAAAAAATTACATGAACGGATAACTAGAATAACCAATGCAGAGAAGTCCTTAAAGGACCTGATGGAGCTGAAAACCACTGCACGAGAACTATGTGACGAATGCACAAGCCTCAGTAACCTATGCGATCAACTGGAAGAAAGGGTATCAGCGATGGAAGATGAAATGTATGAAATGAAGCGTGAAGTGAAGTTTAGAGAAAAAATAATAAAAAGAAATGAACAAAGCCTCCAAGTAATATGGGACTATGTGAAAAGACCAAATCTACATCTGATTGGTGTACCTGAAAGTGACGGGGACAATGGAACCAAGGTGAAAAACACTCTGCAGGATATTATCCAGGAGAACTTCCTCAATCTAGCAAGGCAGGCCAACATTCAAATTCAGGAAATACAGAGAACACCACAAAGATACTCCTCGAGAAGAGCAACTCCAAGACACATAATTGTCAGATTCACCAAAGTTGAAATGAAGGAAAAAATGTTAAGGGCAGCCAGAGATAAAGGTCGGGCTACCCACAAAGGGAAGGCCATCAGACTAACAGCTGACCTCTTGGCAGAAACTCTACAAGCCAGAAGAGAGTGGGGGCCAATATTCAACATTCTTAAAGAAAATAATTTTCAACCCAGAATTTCATATCCAGCCAAACTAAGCTTCATAAGTGAAGGATAAATAAAATACTTTACAGACAAGCAAATGCTGAGAGATTTTGTCAACACCAGGCCTGCCCTAAAAGTGCTCCTGAAGGAAGCACTAAACATGGAAAGGAACAACCGGTACCAGCCACTGGAAAAACATGCCAAATTGAAAAGACCATCAAGGCTAGGAAGAAACTGCATCAACTAATGAGCAAAATAACCAGCTAACATCATAATGTCAGTATCAAAATAAATAACAGTAACAATAACAAATTCACATAACAATACTAACCTTAAATGTAAATGGGCTAAATGCTCCACTTAAAAGGCATAGACTGGCAAATTGCATAAAGAATCAAGACCCATCAGTGTGCTGTATTCAGGAAACATATCTCACAAGCAGAAACACACATAGGCTCAATATAAAGGGATGGAGGAAGATCTACCAAGCAAATGGAAAACAAAAAAAGGCAGGGGTTGCAATCCTAGTCTCAGATAAAACAGACTTTAAACAAACAAAGATCAAAAGAGACAAACAAGGACATTATGTAATGGTAAAGGGATCAATTCAACAAGAAAAACTAACTATCCTAAATATATATGCACCCAATACAGGAGCACCCAGATTCATAAAGCAAGTCCTTAGTGACCTACAAAGTGACTTAGACCCCACACAACAATAATGGGAGACTTTAACACCCCACTGTCAACATTAGACAGATCAACGAGACAGAAAGTTAACAAGGATATACAGGAATTGAACTCAGCTCTGCACCAAGTGGACCTAATAGACATCTATAGAACTCTCCACCCCAAATTAAAAGAATATACATTCTTTTCAGCACCACACCACACCTATTCCAAAATTGACCACATACTTGGAAGTAAAGCACTCCTCAGCAAATGTAAAAGAATGGAAATTATAACAAACTGTCTCTCAGACCACAGTGCAATCAAACTAGAATGCAGGATTAAGAAACTCACTCAAAACTGCTGAACTACATGGAAACTGAACAACCTGCTCCTGAATGACTACTGGGTACAGAACGAAATGAAGGCAGAAATAAAGATGTTCTTTGAAACCAATGAGAACAAAGACACAACATACCAGAATCTCTGGGATGTATTCAAAGCAGTGTGTAGAGGGAAATTTATAGCACTAAATGCCCACAAGAGAAAGCAGGAAAGATCTAAAATTGACATCCTAACATCACAATTAAAAGAACTAGAGAAGCAAGAGCGAACACATTCAAAAGCTAGCAGAAGGCAAGAAATAACTAACATCAGAGCAGAACTGAAGGAAATAGAGACACAAAAACCCTTCAAAAATTCAAAGAATCCAGGAGCTGGTTTTTTGAAAAGATCAACACAATTGATAGACCACTAGCAAGACTAATAAAGAAGAAAAGAGAGGAGAATCAAATAGATGCAATAAAAAATGACAAAGGGGATATCACCACTGATCCCATAGAAATACAAACTACCATCAGAGAATACTATAAACACCTCTATGCAAATAAACTAGAAAATCTAGAAGAAATGGATAAATTCCTTGACACATACACTCTCCCAAGACAAAACCATGAAGAAGTTGAATCTCTGAATGGACCAATAACAGGCTCTGAAATTGAGGTAATAATTAATAGCTTACAAAGCAAAAAAAGTCCAGGACCAGATGGATTCCCAGCCAAATTCTACCAGAGGTACAAGGAGGAGTGGGTACCATTCCTTCTGAAACTGTTCCAATCAATAGAAAAAGAAGGAATCCTCCCTAACTCATTTTATGAGGCCAGCATCATCCTGATACCAAAGCCTGGCAGAGACATAACCAAAAAAGAGAATTTTAGACCAATATCCTTGACTAACATTGATGCAAAAATCCTCAATAAAATACTGGCAAACTGAATCCAGCAACATATCAAAAAGCTTATGCACCATGGCCAAGTGGGCTTCAACCCTGGGATGCAAGGCTGGTTCAACATATGCAAAACAATAAATGTAATCCAGCATATAAACAGAACCAAAGACAAAAACCACATGATTATCGCAATAGATGCAGAAAAGGCCTTTGACAAAATTCAACAACTCTTCATGCTAAAAACTCTCAATAAATTAGGTATTGATGGGACATATCTCAAAATGATAAGAGCTATCTATGACAAACCCACAACCAATATCATACTGAATGGGCAAAAACTGGAAGCATTCCCTTTGAAAACTGGCACAAGACAGGGATGCCCTCTCTCACCACTCCTATTCAACATAGTGTTGGAAGTTCTGGCCAAGGCAATCAGGCAGGAGAAGGAAATAAAGGGCATCCAATGAGGAAAAGAGGGAGTCAAATTGTCCCTGTTTGCAGATGACATGATTGTATATCTAGAAAACCCCATCGTCTCAGCCCAAAGTCTCCTTGAGCTGATAAGCAACCTCAGTAAAGTCTCAGGATACAAAACCGATGTGCAAAAATCACAAGCATTCTTATACACCAATAACAGACAAACAGAGAGCCAAATCATGAGTGACTTCCCATTCACAATTGCTTCAAAGAGAATAAAATACCTAGGAATCCAACCTACAAGGGATGTGAAGGACCTCTTCAAGGAGAAATATAAACCACTGCTCAATGAAATAAAAGAGGATACAAACAAATGGAAGAACATTCCATGCTCATGGGTAGGAAGAATCAATATCCTGAAAATGGCCACACTGACCAAGGTAATTTAGAGATTCAATGCCATCCCCATCAAGCTACCAATGACTTTCTTCACAGAATTGGAAAAAACTACTTTAAAGTTCATATGGAACTGAAAAAGAGCCTGCATTGCCAAGTCAATCCTAAGCCAAAAGAACAAAGCTGGAGGCATCACGCTACCTGACTTCAAACTACATTACAAGGCTACAGTAACCAAAACAGCATGGTACTGCTACCAAAACAGAGATATACACCAATGGAACAGAACAGAGCCCTCAGAAATAATGCCACATATCTACAACTCTCTGATCTTTGACAAACCTGACAAAAACAAGCAATGGGGAAAGGATTCCCTATTCAATAAATGGTGCTGGGAAAACTGGCTAGCCATATGTAGAAAGCTGAAACTGGATCCTTCCTTACACCTTATATAAAAATTAATTCAAGATGGATTAAAGACTTAAATGTTAGACCTAAAACCATAAAAACCCTAGAAGAAAACCTAGGCAATACCCTTCAAGACACAGGCATGTGCAAGGACTTCATGTCTAAAACACCAAAAGCAATGGCAACAAAAGCCAAAATTGACAAATGGGATCTAATGAAACTAAAGAGCTTCTGCACAGCAAAAGAAACCACCATCAGAGTGAACAGGCAACCTACAAAATGGGAGAAAATTTTTGCAACCTACTCATCTGACAAAGGGCTAACATCCAGAATCTACAATGAACTCAAACAAGTTTACAAGAAAAAAACAAACAACCCCATCAAAAAGTGGGTGAAGGATATGAACAGACTCTTCTCAAAAGAAGATGTTTATGCAGCCAAAAAACACATGAAAAAATGCTCATCATCACTGGCCATCAGAGAAATGCAAATCAAAACCACAATGATATACCATCTCACACCAGTTAGAATGGTGATCATTAAAAAGTCAGGAAACAACAGGTGCTGGAGAGGATGTGGAGAAATAGGAACACTTTGACACTGTTGGTGGGACTGTAAACTAGTTCAACCATTGTGGAAGACAGTGTGGTGATTCCTCAGGGATGTAGAACTAGAAATATGATTTGACCCAGCCATCCCATTACTGGGTATATACCCAAAGGATTATAAATCATGCTGCTATAAAGACACATGCGCACGTATGTTTATTGCAGCACTATTCACAATAGCAAAGACTTGGAACCAACCCAAATGTCCAACAATGATAGACCGGATTAAGAAAATGTGGCACATATATATCATGGAATACTATGCAGCCATAAAAAATGATGAGTTCATGTTCTTTGTTGGGACATGGGTGAAGCTGGAAACCATCATTCTCAGCAAACTATCACAAGGACAAAAAACCAAACACTGCATGTTCTCACTCACAGGTGGGAATTGAACAATAACACATGGACACAGGAAGGGGAACAGAACACACCAGGGACTGTTGTGGGGTTGGGGGAGGTGGGGAGGGATAGCATTAGGTGGTATATCTAATGCTAAATGACGAGTTAATGGGTGCAGCACACCAACATGGCACATGTATACATATGTAACAAACCTGCACGTTGTGCACATGTACCCTAAAACTTAAAGTATAATAATAATAAAAAAGTTTGACTAGAATAGCATGGAATCTGTGATTGCTTTGGGTAGTATGGCCATTTTAACGATATTAATTCTTCCAATCTCTGAGTTGGAATATGTTTTCCATTTTTTTTTTGTTATCTATAATTTCTTTCAACGGTGTTTTGTAGTTTTCCTTGTAGAGATATTTCACCTTATTGTTTACAGGTACTCCTAGGTCCTTTTTTTTTTCAGATACAGCAAATGAAATTGCATTCTTGATTTGGATCTCACCTTGAATGTTATTGAGGTATAGAAATGATACTCATATTTGTACATTGATTTTTTATTCTGAAACTTTATTGAACTAATTTATCAAATCTGGGAGTTTTTTTGAGGAATCTTTTGGGTATTCTACATCTACAATAGTATCAAAAATGAGCAGAGATAATATGACTTCCCCTTTTAATATTTAAATTCCTTTTATTTTTCTCTCTTGCCTGATTACTCTTGCTAGCACTTTCAGTACTGTGTTGAATAGGAGTGGTAACAGAGGACAAACTTGTGTTGTTACAGTTTTTAGAGGAAATGCTTCCAACTGTTGCCCATTCAGTATGATGTTTGTTTTGTGTTTCTTATAAATGGCTGCTATTATTTTTAGGTTTGTTCCTTCAATGTCTAGCTTTTTTAGGGTTTTGTTATGAAGTGGGGTTGAATTTTACCAAATGATTGTTCTGCTTCTATTGAGATGATAATATGGTTTTTGCTTTTAATTTTGTTTATGTGATAACAGAAAATTATTGATTTGCCTACGTTGAACCATCCTTGCATCCCAGGAATAAAGCCCACTAGATTGTGTTGAATGATGGACTGTTGAATGTGGTTTGCTAGAATTTTGTTGAGGACTTTTTCAACTATGTTTTTCAGGGATATTAGCCTGTAGTTCTCTTTTTTTGTTGTGTCCTCGCCAGATTTTGGTATGAGGATTGGTATCAGGATTACACTGCCTCCAATGAATGAGATAGGAAAGAAACCCTCCTCCTAATTTTTTGGAAGCTTCATTAAGATTGGTACCAGCTCTTCTTTGTACATCTGGTAGAATTTGACTCACCATTTATCTGGTGCAGGGCTATATTCTTTTGGTAGGACATTTTTAAATTACTGATTCAACTTATTAACTCATTTTTGGTCTCTTAACGGTTTCAGTTTATTCCTAGTTCAGTTTTGGAAGTTTGTCTGTTTCCAGGAATTTATCCATTTCCTCTCAATTTTTTTCTTTGTGTTTTTGGAGGTATTAATCCATTTAAGCCTGAGGCTGCAATTTTTTTAAGTTTTGCAATCATACTTTGGTGACGACCTTGAGCAGTAGGATATAAATAACTCCCACATGCTTATTGTTCCAATAATGGGCCACTAGGCATACTTGCAATCTCTGAGGATCTTTTGTATTTCTTTGGTATCAGTTGTAATGTCAACTTTATCATTTTTAATTTTGCTTATTTTTATCTCTCTCTCTTTGTTAATTTAGCCAATAGTCTCTCAATCTTTTATATCTTTTCAAACAATGAACTTTCCAATTTGTTGATTTTCTATATCTATTTTTGTTTTATTTTATGTTCTGGGGTACATGTGTAGGGTATGCAGGTTTGTTACATAAGTAAATGTGTGCCATGGTGGTTTGCTGCACCTACCAACCTCAGTATTGATAAGTAAGTATCAACCTATCACCTAAGTATTAAGCCTAGCATACATTAGCTGTTTTTCCTGTTGCTCTACCTTCACCCACACCCCCTGACAGGCCCCAGTGTGTGTTGTTCTCCTCCTTATGTCCATGTGTTCTCATTGGTCAGCTCCCACTTATGAGTGAGATTGTTGATTTTTTATAGTTATTTGATTACAATTTTATTTCTTCCTGCTTTGATCATAACTATTTCTTCTATTCAGCTAGTGTTTGATTTAGCTTGTTCTCATTTGTCTAGTTCCTTCATTGTGACCTTAGGTTATTAATTTGGGATATTTCCCTTTTAGATGTAGTTCTTTGGTGCTATAAACTTTTCTCTTAACACTGCTTTTGTTATATCCCAGAGGTTTTCATATGTCGTATTTCTATTTTCAATTGTTTCAAATAACTTTTTGATTTCTGCCTTAATTTTGTTTACCCAAAATTCATTCAGGAATAAGTTGGTTAGTTTCCATATATTTATGTAATTTTCATAACTCCTTTTGGTATTGATTTCTATTGTTATTCCACTCTGGTACAACAAGATGCTTTGCATGATTTTGATTTTTTGAATGTATTTATGATCACCTTATGACCAAGAATGTTGTCAAACTGCTCTGTGTGCAGATGGGAATAATGTATATTCTGTGGTTGTTAGGTGGAATGTTATTTAGATCAATATCAGGTCCATTTGGTCAAATATTCTATTTAAGTCCAAAATTTTTTTGTTCATTTTCTGCCTTGATGATCTGTCTAAAGCTGTCAGTGGTGTGTTGAAGTCTACCACTATTATTTTACAGCTGTTTCTTTTTTTATGTCTAGTAGCAATTGTTGTATAAAGCTGGGTGCTCCAACATTGAATGTATACATATTTAGGATAGTTATATCTTCTTGTTGCACTGAACACTTTATTATTATGTAATGCCCTTCTTTGTCCCTTTTTGTTATTGTTGGTTTAATGTCTATTTTATCTGATACACAAATAGCGTGCCCTTCTACTTTTGTGTGTGTGTTTTCCATTTGCATGATGTATCTTCCTCTCTCCCTTTATTTTGAGTCTATGTGTGTCACTATATGTGAAGTGGGTCTTTTGAAGGCAGCAGAATGTTTGGTCTTGCTTTGTTATCTAATTTGCTACTCTTTATCTTTTAAGTGAAGTATTTAGGTTGTTTACATTTAAGATTAATATTTATATGTGATGTTTCATTTCTGTTATTTTGTTGTTTTCTAATTGTTTTGTAGATTCCATTTTGTAGTTGCATTATAAGGTGTTTGGGCTTTCTACTTACATGTGCTTTTATCATAGGGAGTACCATCCTTTTATTTCCATATTTAGAAGTCCTTTAAACATTTATTGTAGATCCAATCTGGTGGTGATGAATTTCCTTATTGTTTTCTTGTATGTGAAAGACTTTATTTATCCTTCATTTATGAAGCTTAATTTGGCCGGAAGTGAAATTCTTGTTGGAATTTTTTAAAGCTAAAAATGAGTCTCCAATCTCTTCATGTTTGTAAGGATCCTGCTGAGAAATCTACTGACAGTCTGATGGGATTTTATTTATAGGTAATTTGATCTTTTTTTCTCACTGCATATATGATATATATATATTTTTTCACATTGACCTGGGATAGTGTGAGGACTACATGCTTTGGGGATGGTCATATTTTATAGTATCTTGAAGGATTTATCTACATTTCTTGTATTTTGATGTCAACCTCTCTAGCAAGATTCGGAAATTTTTCTGAATTATACCTTCAAATATATTTTCCATGTTGCTTGCTTTTTTTTTTCTTCTCTGTCAGGAATTTCAAAAAGTTGTAGGTTTGGTCACTTTACATAGTTCCATATGTTTTAAATACTGTGTTTATTTTAAAAAAAATTATTCATTTTTATCTGACTGAATTAATACAAAATACCAGTCTTTGAGCTCTTGAATTATTTCTTCTCTTTGGTCCAATCTATTGTTAAGGCTTCTACCTGTAGGTTTGCAATTACTGTAGTAATTTTTTTTTAATTCCAGAAGTTCTATTTGGTTCTTCAGGCCATGGTAGGCAACTCTGCAGTCTGTTCTCTGTTGCTGGGGTGTTGCTCCTCTATGTAGAGATGAAGATTTGGGCCATGCCCTTCTTTTGGTTTTGATGCTACTGTTAATAGGATTGTTTGTTTAATAACCTTCTTGGAAAGTCCACCTGTTTTTAGTGTATAGAAATGCAACTGATTCTATAGGCTGATTTTGTATCTTGTTATTTTACTGAGTTCATTTACTACTTCTAACTGCTTTTTAATGGAGTCTTTAGGATGCTCCATATGAAAGGTCTTATCACCTGAAAACAGATAATTTCATTTCTTTCTTTCCAATAAAGATGTCATCAGTTTGTTTTTCGTCTGAGTGCTCTTGCTAAGACTTCTATGTTCAATAGAAGTGACAGAAGTGAGCATCCCTGTCTTTTCCCTTACCTTAAATAAAAACTTTCAGTTTTTCTTTGCTGGGGATTATATTCACTATGGGTTTTTCATATGTGGCTTTTGTTATGGTGAAGTAAATTTAGTTTATTCCTAGTGTTTTGAATATTTTTATCATGAAAGTGTGTTAAATTTTGTCAAATGCTTGCTCATTTTCTATTGATATTATCAGATAATTTTATCCTTCATTCTGTTAATGCAGTATATCACACTTATTGATTTGCATGTTGAAGCTTTCTTGCATGCCAAGTATAAATCCCACCTGATGCAACTATTTGTTGCATCCTGGTAATGGTGGGTTGAAGTCATGTCTCAGAGGTCTGGGAGTTGGGTGAAGAAAAGTGGCAACACATCCCTGGTATTGTTGGGTAACAGCCAAAATTCAGGCCCCAAGGATGGGTTGCAGGGCAGGGCAGTGCAGCTCCAGTCTTGAAGATGGTGAGAAGCTATGGCATTTTGATTCCTGCATGGAGAGCACAGTGGTGACTCCGGCCTCTGGGGCCATGGATCAGCCCTGTGAGAGCTCTAACCCTGAGCAGGGGACACAGTGGTGGCTCCTTCTCTGTTGGGGAACACTGCAGCATGGATTCTGGGAAGTTGTCAGCTGGGCATAGCACTATGAAAACTTCAGGGATCCCTGCTGGCTAAAGCTGCAGGTAACTGTGATGGTGAACAGGACTGCTGATGTCCTCTCGTACTTCCCTCCCCTTCCCAAAAGTGGAAAATCCCATTGAGGGGATCACTCTTAGTTACAGTCTGCTCTGGAGTAGGAGATGGGCTGATGTTGATAAAAATTTTTCTACTCTTTTCTACATGACCATCCTCTATTCTTGTACTTCACAGGGTTCCTGCTGTTTCCTTGTTGCCTGGAGTGTTCTGAGAACGACTTTACTTGATTTATAGTCACTTATTGTTTTTGTTGTTTTTGGTAAACAAGTATAAGGACTTTTCATTCTGCTCTATTGCTAATGTACTCTACAAAAAAATTATTCAACTCATGTGTAATAAATGATTACCATGTAACAGACACTATACTGGGTCATAAGAAAGGTGACATTCTAGCCCTAAGAACAATATGTAAAAAGAATCACATTGCTATGTATAAGAAACTGAAAGATGACCAATGTGACTGGAGCTCAGTGAGTGAAAGGAAAAGTGAAGTGAAATTTGTCTCATAAAGTGTATGGGTAGATAAGTGAAAATGGTAAGTCAATTTTGCACTTTCAACTTAGGTATCCAGGTTCTCACATTGGGGCTGATTAGGTTGATGGCTCAGCCCACGGAAAGTGAAGAAAAGCAAGGTGAGGCAATGGCCAACCCTGGAGCGGCATGGAACCATGGGAGCCCCCATCCCCAGCCAAGGGAAATGGTGAGTGATTCTGAGGTCCAGCTTGGGAAACCATGTTTTTCCCATGGATCTTTGTGACCTGCCGACCAGGAGATCCCCTCGTGAGCCCACGCCACCAGGGCCTTGGGTTTGAAGCACAAAACCGTGCAGAATCTCAGAAAAGCAGCCACTCAGGCACACACAGAGACCCAGGAGTTTTGCATAGTCTGGCTCAGGGAATTCTGGCTACGTGGGGGATATATCTATGCATTCCCCTAGTAAGGGGGCTGAAGCCAGGGAGCCACACAGTGTGTTGTTATGCAGGCCCCACTCCCATGGCACTTCACAAATTAAAAGACCCACTGGCTTAGAATTTCAGCTGGCCAGTGGCAGCAGGCTGGAGACTGCCTGAGACCAATTGAGTTCTTAGGGGTAAGGGAAGCCACCTTCTCTGCAGTTTGAGTTGGCCATTCTAGCCTTCTGGGTCCAGGGAGTCCAAGAAGTCTAGACCAGAATCCTGATATCTCCCTGGGATGGAGCCCCTACGTGCAGGGGCAGCTGCAATCTCTGTGATTTAGCTGACTTAGTCTTTCTAGCCTGCTGGCTCTAGACAGTCCAGGCAGTCTGAATGAGGGCGATTTCCTCCAGTGCAGTGTACCCACTCTGCCAAGGGACAGCCAGACTGCTTCTTTGAGTGGGTCCTTGATCCCATTCTTTCAGACTGGGTGAGATCTCCCAACAGGGGTCTCCAGACACCACCTACAGGAGCATTAGAGCCAGCATCAGGTGGGTGCTCCTCTGGGACAGAGCTCCCAGAGAAAGAAGCATGCTGCCATCTCTGCTGTTTTGTAGCCTTCACTAGTGATATTTCCAGGTGTGGGAGGGACTGAGGGACTGAGGTAATGAGGGTCTGGAATGGACCCCCAGAAAAATCACAGCAGCCCTACATAAGAGTGGCCTAAGTGTGAAAAGAAAAACAAACAGAAAGCAACAACAACATCAACATGAACAAAAAAGACCCCACAAAAACCCCATTTAAAGGTCAGCAACCACAAAGATAAAAGGTAGATAAGCCCACAAAAATGAGAAAGAATCAATGCAAAAATGCTGAAAACTCAAAAATCCAGAGACTCTTCTTTTCCAAATGACAACAACACCTCTCCAGCAAAGGCACAGAATTTGGTTGAAGCTAAGGTGGCTATATTGACAGAAGTAGGCTTTAGAAAATGGGTGATAACAACCTTCGCTGAGCTAAAGTAGCATGTCTTAACTCAATGCAAAGAAACTAAGAATCATGATAAAATGATACAGGAGCTGATAACCAGAATATTCAGTTTAGAGAGGAGAATAACTGAACTGAGGGAGCTGAAAAACACAACCTGAGAACGTCACAGTACAATTACAATATCCATAGCAGAATAGAGCAAGCAGAGGAAAGAATCCCAGAGCTTGAAGACTATCTTTCTGAAATAAGTCAGGTAGACAAGAATAGAAAAATATTAGAAAAGAATGAACAAAACCTCTGAGAAATATGGCATTATTTAAAAAGACTGAGCCTACAACTGAATGGGGTACTTGAAAAAGATGAGGAGCATGGAACCAATTTGGGAAACATACTTCAGAATATTATCCAGGAGAAATTCCCCAACCTAGCAAGACAGGCCAATGTTCAATTTCAGGAAACTTAGAGAACCCCAGTAAGATACTCCATGAGAAGATCAACCACAAGACAAACAATCATCACATTCTCTATGGTCAAAATGAAAGAAAAAATGTTAAAGGGAGCCAGAGAGAAAGGCCATTTCACTTACAAAGGGAAGCCCATCAGACTAACAGTGGATCTCTCAGTGGAAATCCTACAAGCCAAAAGATATTGGGGCCCAATATTCAATATTCTTAAAGAAAAAAAAATTAAACATAGAATTTCTTATCCTGCCATATTAAGCTTTATAAGTGAAGGAGAAATAAGATCTTTTTCAGACATGCAAGTGCATAGGGAATTCGTCACTACCAAGCCTGCTTTGCAAAAGCTCCTGAAAGAAACACTAAATATGGAAAGGAAAAACCATTACCTGCCACTACAGAAACACACTGAAGTACAACAACCAGGAACACTATGAAGCAACCACATAAACAAGTCTAAAAATAACCAGCTAGCATCAGAATGACAGGATCAAATTCACACATAACAATATTAACCTTAAATTTAAATGTGCTAAATGCCCCAATTATAAAACACAAAATGGCAAGCTGGAAAAATAGTCAAGACCTATTAGCATTCTGTCTTCAGGAGACCCATCTCACATGCAAAGACACACTTAGGCTAAAATAAAGAGATGTGGAAAAATTGACCAAGCAAATGGAAGACAGAAAAAAGCAGGGTCAAAGCCCTAGTTTTTGACAAAACAGACTTTAAACCAACAAAGATCAAAAGAGACAAAGAAGGGCATTACATAAAGGTAAGGGGTTCAATTCAACAAGAAGAGCTAACTATCCTAAATATATATGTACCCAATACAGGAGCACCCAGATTCATAAAGCAAGTTCTTAGAGACCTACAAAGAGACTTAGGCTCCTGCATACTAATGGTAGGAGACTTTAACACTCCACTGACAATATTAGACAGATCATCGAGACAGAAAATTAAAAAGATATTCAGGACCTGAACTCAGCTCTGGATCAAGTGGATCTGATAGATATCTACAGAACTCTCCAACCAAAAACAACAGAATATACATTCTTCTGATCACCACATGACACTTACTCTAAAATAGAACATATAATCAGAAATAAAACAGTCCTCAGCAAATGCAAAATAATTGAAATTATAATAGTCTATCAGACCACAGCACAATCAAATTAGAACTCAAGATTAAGAAACTCACTCAAAACCACACAACTACATGGAAATTGAGCAACCTGCTTCTGAATGACTCCTTGGTGCATAATGAAATTAAGGCAGAAATAAAGAAGTTATTTGAAATAAATGAGAACAAAGAAACAATACACCAGAATCTCTGAAAGGCAGCTAAAGCAGTGTTAAGAGAAAAACTTATAGTACTGAATGCCCACATCAAAAAGCTAGAAAAATATCAAATCGACAACTTAACATCACAACTACAATAACTAGAGAACCAAGAGCAAACTAGCCCCAAAGCTAGCAGAAGAAAAGAAATAACAAAATCAGAGCTGAACTGAAGGAGAAAGAGACGTGAAAAACCCTTCAAGAAATCAATGGGGAGCTGTTTTCTTTTCAAAAAATTAATAAAATAAATAGACCTGTAGCTAGACAAATAAAGAAGAAAAGATGTAAGGATCACCTTGACACAATCTGAAATGATAAGGAGGATATCACCACAGATCCCACAGAAATACAAATAAGCATTAGAGAATACTATAAACAAACACCTCAATGCACATAAACTATAAAACCTAGAATAAGTTGATAAATTCCTGGACATATACACCCTCCCAAGACTGAACCAGGAGTAAATTGAATCTCTGAATAGAGCAGTAATGAGATCTAAAATTGAGGCAGTAATAAAGTGCCTACCAAACAATAAATGCCCAACACCAGATGGATTTACAGCTGAATTCTGCCTGAGGTGAAAAAAAGAGCTGTTATCATTTCTACTGAAACTATTCCAAACAATTAAAAAGGGCAGACTCCTTCCTAACTCATTTTTATGAGGCCAATGTCATCCTAAAACCAAAACCTGGAAGAGATGCAACAAAAAAGAAGACTTTAGGCCAATATACCTGATGAACATTGATGCAAAAATCCTCGATAAAATACGGGAAAATCAAATCCAGCAGCACATCCAAAAGCTTATCCACTGTGATCAACTTGGCTTCATCCCTGGGATGCAAGGTTGGTTCAACATATGCAAATGAATAAATTTAATTCATCACATAAACAGAACTAAAGACAAAAAAAACCACATGATTATCTCAATAGATGCAGAAAAGGCCTTTAATAAAATACAACATCTCTTCATGTTAAAAACTCTCAGTAAACTAGGTATTGATAGAACATCCTGCAAAATAATTAGAAGCATATATGACAAACCCACAGCAAATATTAAACTGAATGGGCAAAGCTGGAAGCATTCCCCTTGAAAACCGGCAGAAGACAAGGATGCCCTCTCTCACCACTCCAGTTCAACATAATATTGGAAGTTTTGGCCAGGACAATTGGGCAAGAGAAGAAAATAAAGGGTATTCAAATAGGAAGAGTAAAAGTCAAATTATCCTTGTTTGCAGGTGGCATTTTCCTGTATCTAGAAAAACTTATTGTCTCAGCTCAAAAGCTTCCTAAGCTAATAAGCAAATTCAATAAAGTCTCAGGATAAAAAAATCAATGTGCAAAAATTGCTAGTATTCCTATACATCAAAACAGGCAAGCAGACAGCCAAAGTATGAATGAACTCCCATTCACAACTGCTACAAAGAGAATAAAATACCTAAGAATACAACTAACAAGCTAAGTGAAGGACCTCTTCATGGAGAACTACAAACCACTGCTCAACCATGTCAGTGAGGACACACACAAATAGAAAATCATTCTATGCTCATGGATAGAAAGAATCAATATAGTGAAAATGGCCATACTTCCCAAAGTAACTTAGAGGTTTAATGCTATTTCCATTAAATTACCACTGACATTCTTCACAGAATTAAAAAAAACTATTTTAAAATTCATATGGAACTAAAAAACAGCTCTTGTAGCAAAGATAATCCTAAGCAAAAAGAACAAAGCTAGAGGCATCATGCTACCTGACTTCAAACTATACTACAAGGCTACAGTAACCAAAACAGTATGGTAATGGTACAAAAACAGACACACAGACCAATGGAACAGAATACAGAACTCAGAAATAAGACCACACATCAACAACCATCTGATTTTTGGCACACCTGACAAAAACAAGCAATGGGAATGAATTCTCTACTTAATAAATGGTGCTGGGAGAACTGGCTAGCCACATGCAGAAAATTGAAACTGGACCCTTTCCTTACACTTTATACAAAAATTAACTCAAGATGCATTAAAGACTTAAATGTAAAATGTAAAACCCAAAACTATAAAAACCCTAAAAGAAAATCTAAGCAATACCATTCAGGACATAGGCACAGACAAAGATTTCATGACGAAAATCCAAAAGCAATCGGAACAAAAGCAAAAATTGATAATGAGATCTAATTAAACTATGGAGCTTCTGCACAGCCAAAGAAACTATCACTAGCAAGGTGGCAAGGTTGTGTAGAAAAAGGAACACTTTTACACTCTTGGTGGTAGTGCAAATTAGTTCAACCATTGTGGAAGACAGTGTGGTGATTTCTCAAAAGTCTAGAAGCAGAAATACCATTTGACCCAGCAATCTCATTACTGTGTATATACCCAAAGAAATATAAATAATTTATTATAAAGATACATGCACACATATGATCATTGTAGCATATTTACAATAGCAATAACATGATATCAACACAAATGCACATAAATGATAGACTTGATAAAGAAAATATGGTACATATACACCATGGAATACTATGCAGCCATAAAAAGAAATGAGATGTCGTTCTTTACAGGGACTTGGATGGACCTGGAAGCCATTATCCTCAGCAAACTAACTCAGGAACAGAAAACCAAACACCAAATCTTCTCACTTATAAGCGGGGCTGAACAATGAGAACACATGGACACAATAGGTGCACTGGGGCCTATTCAGGGGAGGTGGGCAGAGGGAGAGCATAAGGAAGAATAGCTAATGAATGCTAGGCTTAATACCTAGGTGATGGGTTGATCTGTACAGTAAACCACCATGGCACACGTTTACCTATATAACACACCTGCACATCCTGCACATGTACCAGGGAACTTAAAAATAAATGTTCAAGAAAAAAAATAAATGCATGGGTCTGTAACTTTCATTCATTCAGAAACCTAAAATACTTATTTGCAGAATATATTGTGGTTCTTGATCATAGCCTTGAAATCTCCTAAACAAAAAATTTTAAAATAGTGAAGATGGGCCTGGTGCAGTGGCTCGCACCTGTAATCCCAGCACTTTGGGAGGTTGAGGTGGGTGGATCATGAGGTCAGGAGTTCGAGACCAGCCTGACCAACATGGTGAAACCCAGTCTCTACTAAAAATACAAAAATAAGCCAGGTGTGGTGGTGCACACCTGTAATCCCAGCTCCTTGGGAGGCTGAGGCTGGGGAATCGCTTGAACCTGGGAGGCAGAGGTAGCAGTGAGCCGAGATCATGACACTGCACTCCAGCATGGGCAACAAAGCAAGACTCCGTCTCACACACACACACACACAAAATAGTGAAGATGAGAATTTCTTCTGTTTAAGCAGAGTAAAACTGAGTCCATCAGTTTTGTTTGTTTCTTTTTATGTGAAGATGAGAAATTAACTTTGTTTTTTAAATAAATTTCTTGAAGAAAAATTGATACGTATAAAATTTGATAAGTTTGGACATATTCTTATAACCATTACCACAATAAAAGTAATAAACATATTTTGTTTCCAAATGTTTCTTTATGCCCTTTTATTTGTTTGCTTTGTATTAAAACCACTTAAAGTATTAATAATATCTACCATTTTAACAAGATTTTTAACTGCAAAATACAGTGTTGTTAACAGTAGGCACAACGTTGTGCAGCAGATTTCTAGAACTACTCGTCTTATATAGTTGAAACTTTATACTCATTAAACAGCCACTACCTATGTCTACTGCCAGTTTTCCTGCTGTTGTGCTTTTCACTGCTTCTCTAACTCCAGCGTGATCAACCATCCTAGTTTGCCCTTGATTGAGACAATCCACAGGAAATAGGACTTTCAGTACTGAAACGGAGACAATCCCAGGCAAGCAAGGATGGTTGGGATGCTTGCTCATCCTAATCCTACCCCTATTCCCATTATTTTCACCATGGCATTTAAATTGAGTGAATGCTCCTACCAGAGTTTGAAGGTTTGGGGTAAATTTCCTCTGTCAGTGTCCTTAGTCTCTTTAAGGAGGCTTCCTTTCTATGAGATTTAATCAGGAAACTGTAGTCTCTGAACCTATGGGAAAGAAGAAGTGACATAGCATTTAAGGAAAAAACAAGGTGCAGAATGTATTCATTCAAACATGTTAAGTACCTACTCTGTGTAAGGCACATAACTAGTGTAAACTTCGCTAAATTCATGAGCATTCTAAGTGTTTTTATCTATTCATAACAAAATATTATAAACTGGGTAGCTTATAGTAACACAAATGTATTTTCCACTATTCTTGAGGCTGGAAATCCAACATCAAGTTGTTTGAAAATTCAGTGTCTGCTGAGGGCCCACTTTCTGATTCACAGACAGCACCTTTTAGCTGTGTTCTCAGCTGATGAAGGGGTGATGAGTTTCTCTGTTAGGCCTCTTTTATAAGGACACTAATCCTATTCACGAGGGCTCTACTCTCATGACCTAATGACCTCCCAAAGGGCACACCTCCTAAAGAATCACATTAGGGGTTAACAATTCAACATATCAGTTTTGGAGAGGACACAAAATTTGTATCATAGAAGCTAATGGTCACACATGAAAATTACATTTATGACCCAATTCAGACCACATATCAATAGATCCAAAGGCCTGGGTTGAGTGACAGCAGTTTTGAAACTGTTAATTGATGAAGACATTTGTTTGAGATAAATTATAATCTGTGACGGGTACATTGCATTATTTGAAAATCTATATTTTCTATTAGAAAAAAGGGCTATGCTGTTATTTTACATACATAAGTTTATGTTAAGGTTTCTAAGAGATTAGTCTGAATGTTAACAAACTGAAAGACACCCTGAATAGTAGCAAAGTGAAGTTTTGACTAAATCCCTGGTATCAATTTTTGCGTGTCATCTTCTAAAAAGCAATTCCTTCTAAAAATCAATTAATCTGCGCAATTAAAGTTCATTTAAAGCTCTAGTTAAACAAGTTTTACAGGGTTTCATTATCAGCCATGCTAATCTAGATCATTACTGAGATCCTGAGGTATTGACAATACAGGCTTATTTTGTTCAATTCTGTTTTGTATTTAAAACCTGCAGGTGGAAGTTCTTGAATTAATAGTCTCATAGGAATGTAATGTGTCATTTTCCTAGAAAATGCTTAAAATAACATAGATGGCACCAGTATTGCTTCATTGGCATTGTTTGCACAGTAGTTGACAAACTGGAGACTAGTCTTTCTTC
The DNA here is from genome assembly GCF_000001405.40 of Homo sapiens. NCBI lineage: Eukaryota > Metazoa > Chordata > Mammalia > Primates > Hominidae > Homo > Homo sapiens. The sequence continues at coordinate 81,763,005 of NC_000023.11, forward strand.
TATAACAACCTCCTTTCCTTCAGTCACTTCAAATACTTACTATTCTTCAAATTTATACACTCTTGAAATTCTGTATCTTAGGTCTTAGCAAAGATTATCATTTCCAACTTGATATGGCAATGTTGTCATTTACTACAAAATTAAAAAGAAACACTGCCAGCTAAGATTCAGTCTGCCAGTTGGTTAAGGTAAGTTTCAAAGCAATTTTTCTTGTGGGGAGAATGTTAAAATTTATTTCAGAAATTTTGATATATAAAATATAATATTAACTGTGGTCATGTAAAATGATAAATTGGTGAGGTGATATACATGTTAATTACATTGATTGAATCTACCTATATGTATTCACAAGTCAAAACATCATATCATACACCATAAATATATAAAATTATTGTCAATTTAAACTAAATAAGTAGATAGATAAATAAATAAATATTATGTCTTATATGCTTTCTCTATGTTATGGTAATTAATCCAAAGAGAGACCAGACAAGGTTTAGCTTTAATAGACTGCCTTTTCAACTTTCACAATATAAGTTTTGGGTTAAGAAAGAGTTTGATTATAAACAAAGGCTACAATGAAAAGACACACCATGACAAAGCAGAAGTCAATATACATAAAGGTTATAGAATAGAGTATGTTTAATCTTTTTTATATCTACAGAAATCAAATGGCTTTGGTTTACATATGTACTTCTTAAACTCTTTGGGTTCCAAGAGGATCACTGGGACCAACATAAGAAAAACGAAATTTGTTATCAAAATCCATATGAATTGTGTTAGAAGCAGGAAGCCTTTAGGGTCCAAAGCAGCATGTCTATGAATAAATGTTTGCTCTCTCTCTCTCTCCTTCTTCTGGTATTTCTCTTTCATGACACATCTACTTCCACCATGGAGTTCTTGCTTTTCTCTATGTGTCTGCTCTCTTTTTGTATTTTCTACTCAACAATCCTTTTTACATTTTCCAGCTAAAATTCTGGAATCTGGCACATTTAATATAGTTGTCTTTATTAATTACTATTGCTTTAATTTGGCAAATCTCCTTTTGTCAGACTACATCATGAGTCACTGTACAATTTATTTTTCTTTGGGTTATCTGAACGCTCCTGTTTCCACCTGTGGTCATTCTGGTATAAACAAACATCGCACAAAAACACTGGCTTGAAATTGAATCCTTGTGCAAGAAATCTGATTAGAAAAATTTCATGTAGTTGGAAATTTTAGTTAAGTCAAGTATAACTGACATGCCCTGTACATCGTGCCTCTTCAGCTTCTGATGAGCTATGCTGCTTTGCCTCTATTGACTTCAATTACCTCACTTGTAAAACTCTAAAGGAACTAAAATTGATGATTATGATCTCCTTATATTCAAACATGCTTGGAAGTTCAAATGTACTATTTTAGGCAATATTAGTGACGGTGGGGAGAGTTTGGGAGAGAGGAAGACCCCGAAATACTACCTCATTATGCAAGTACTTTTAAATGTAGCTAATATTAATATTAAACCTTATCCTGAGGCTTAATAGTTTGGTTGCTCTCTTTAGAAACATTTGCTGTATCCCCAGAGCTAGTGATATTTGAGGAAAGAATGAAGAAAAAAATAAAATAAAATTTATTTTCATGGAAATACCCTGTCTTTGGAAGAGCATCTTAAAAAAACAGAAACATAATTTTTAAACCTAAGATAGACTGTTGTATAGTATTGATTGCCTCCCAAGAGGGCCAGAACAGAAGGGTTCAGTTCGGTGAACACTCTATTTATGGAAAATATAAATTGAAAGGAATGCTTAATACTCTCTTGATGATTAGATTTTGTTTTCATCAATATTTAGACCCTGCGTACAAGACCAGGGAAGACTATGACAACCTATAGAAACAGGATTCAAGGGGAGAGGCTTCAAGGGTCTTGTGAAGTCTAGGATTTCATCTGGATAGAATACTCATAGAATCATTGAGCTGAGGAGTGATATAGATCCATAAGGCAGGGTTAAAGCTGGGAATGGAAAGCAAATGAATGCAATACCTAAAAGGAGAAGTGAGATAGATAGAAACAGGGGACTTCTGGAGAGAGATAAGTAATAAGGAATGTCATCATTTATTTTTTTTTCTTCAACACATACTCATTGTAGAAATAATGTCATCTAGTGATTAACATAATAGACTTTAGAGACAAAATAGACCTGGGTTCTAAATTTTAATTTAGTATCTACAAAGTTTGTTCTTGGACATGTTAAAGAGCTTTTCTGAGTATCTTTTATCATCTGTAAACTTGGGAGAATAATAAGCATCTCATAGGGTTGTTGTAAATATATAATGAATTAATTTTTTTCTTTTAGTAAACATTCCATAAATAATAGTTGTAAGTAATATTATCAGTATTTTAAGTTTTATATTGTTACTGTTTATTAGGTTCCTTTTATACATCAGGAAAATTACTAAGCTTTTGAAAATTGTTAAGAGACCAGAAAATGTATTAAGTGAATAAATCAAGGGCTTTGAGACCAGAGAATGTATTAACTGAATAAATCAACGGCTTTGTACAAGTCAGATTTGCCAGGATATTCTTTTTTATGGGTCATGGGAAACCTTTACAGGCAGGAGGAGGCTCTATAAGGAAGGGGCATGCTCTAAAAATGTCCCAGAAACTCGTGAGTTACCCATAGTTTGATTGTATATAGGTTCTTGGGAAGATCTACATTCATAGTGTGAACAAACTCATATGTATCTATTAACTGGAAAGTAATAACTATAGCATGCTAGAAAAATAAAGGAAATTTGTATTGTTTAATATGCAGGCTGGTGAAAAAAATATTGTTTTTTGGAAAACAATTACTACATAAGGAATAATCACCAGTGTTTTAAGCAACCTTTTTGCCATGTTTTCTTAGTGCTGGTGGAAGCTAATGTGCAGGGTCCGTGATAAGGAGCTTCTCTGTAACAGACCTTCACTGCTACCTAAATGCAAGCTGAACTAGCATAAATAATTGTGCTGTAGAAAGTCTTTCTGTTGCACCTTGCTGATCACTGACAATTTACATATCTTAGGAAAACCTTTGTTGGCTTCTGTCATTTCTGTGCTATTATGTGCCTTTCTGGATAATTACCAGTTAATTTGAAAAAGCAGATGGAAAAAAACCTTGAAATTTCTGATAGAAAATTCTTAAACCTCTCCTCTTATCTGTGCAGAGCAGCTTCCTGATTTCAAAAGAAGTTTCAAAACCTTTGTTAAATATGTCCCTGATTTCCAGTTTGAATGAACCTAATGACATTAAGCTAAAATTATTCTGCTCTTTTTCACAATTAACTTCCATTATCGTGAACTGTCAAAGTAAAATGGAAGGCCTCTTAACTAATATGGCAGTTGTTTGCTTGGTATGTTTTGTGGCATGGACTGTGTAAAACTGTGTGAAATGTTTGTAAGTTGTGGAGAAACAATAATTGTAATTTTGCAACAATGAGTAGGCTGTATCACAGTCTCCTTTTTCCTCTTCTCCTCCCCATTCCAAAAAGGATCCCTGTAGATAGAGAGACACTGGCTGACCATTTCACAAAACTTAAGAGGTGGTGGGCAGCTTTAATCTGTAAACCCTCTAATTGATTTCTCTGCTCTTTGTCTAGTATTTGTGTTAGACATTAAGCAACCTCAAATACCACTCTTATTAATGAAGATATTATTACAGCATAATTCATTAAAGTTATTACAAGATTGTATTCAAATTTATATCAGCAAGAGCAGAATGTCTGAACATGTTTATACCTGGGTAAAAGGCAAATAAGTTACCATACACTAGTAACAATGAAATTCATCTCTCAGCGTCACCTTCTGTGAGTTTATCTTTCACTCAAATAGATTCATCTCTCCTATCTCTGTATCTTTGGGGATGTGAGATATTTAGTACTTTGAAATATTTAAAGTCCTCTTTTCTTACCTTTTTATAAAATTTGCTGTTAATGCTGAAGTGAGCTCATGAATTCTCTGTCAGTGAATTATTGACTTTATGAAATATCCATGGACAAATTTAGGGTCCCATTTCAGCTTTCCTCATGGCTTTCTTTGTACTTTTTTTTAGCCTTCTGGGTACTCATAGGATGTAAACATAAAACCTCTCATACAAATGTTTCATTCAGCTATTGCATATGCTAGACTTGTGTCCCTTATGTATAAATGGCTTCCACAAACCCTGAGTTGCCATTGTAAGAGTGATTGTCATAACAATGATAGGAACTATCATCCTGCTCATCATCATCACTGTTATCATCAACATCATCATTATCATCATCGTAATGGTTAACATTAATTGAGGACATTTTCTGTGCTTAGTTCTGTCTAATTAATTGGTATTCACTCTCTGTCTTTGTAAGGTGTGGGGAAACAATAAAAATATCTAGTTTATTCAAGCTGCTTTAGCAGAATACTTTAGACTGGATAATTTTAATAAATAATAGAAATTTATTTTTCACAGTTCCGGAGGCTGGATAGTCCAAGTTTAAGGTGCCAGCAGATTCAATGTCTGCTGAAGGCTCACTCTGTGCTTCATAGATTGATGCCTCTTGCTAGGTTCTCACACGGTGAAAAGAGTAAAAGAGGCAAACAAATTTTCTCAAACTTTTTTTACAGGGACAATAATCCCATTTATGAGAGCAAAGCCCTCATGAACTAATGACCTTCCAAAGGGAATACCATCACCTTAGGGGTTTAGGTTTCAAGATATTAATTTTTAAAAGACAGAAATATTACAACTATAGCACTATCTCATTTAATCATTCAAGCAATCCTACATAGTGGGTACTATTATTTTCCATATCTCATGGATGAGAAAATTGGGTTTGGAAAAATGAAATAATATCTCCAATGTCATTCACATAAAACACATTAAGACAAAGATTGAAACTCAGTCTGTGTTATCCTAAAGCACTGTACTAAATACTATGTTTTCTATGAGGAGCTCCCATTTCTCTTTTATTTTCAAGTTAGAAATTAGACACCTCTAGGCTTCTTTCCCTCCTTTTAAAATAGTCTGAACCTGCAACTTTATGCTCCATCCCTTGTTAATTAAAATTTATGGGAGACCATTTATTTGGACTGAGCTCTTGCGCTATGCCCCAAAAGACCAAGCCAAAATGGAGTCACTCATGCTCAAGTTCCACATCACCAAACTGAAACTAAGTTGTTTTTCGGACCTTTTGAGAAATCAGGAGGGAGCTGACAGCCAAATCCCCAAACAGACCAGTTTAGCTTGTGTATCAAAGAAGTTCTCTCCGCTTTAACCTTTACAAGGAAAGCAACCTGAAGTAACCTGGTAGTAACAAATCCACTTTTTGTATAATTTTGTTTGTTTCTACTCAAGCTTATTTATAAAAACCAATTGCTCCGCCATGTCCAAAAGAGCACTTAGCTTATTCTTTATTTAAGGTGCTGCCTGAATCACGAACTGCTAATAAAAGTCAATCAGATCTTTAAACTAAATTTGTTGAAATTTTGTATCTTTCATCCTAAATCTTGCACATATTCCATGGCAGAGTAGCTCCTAGGAGTTAAAATCAGGAGAAAATATCCAAGAGACTCTCTCATCTTTTGCCATTGCTACTGGTTGGTTTTATACCATCCCATGAACCTGCAGCAGTAACTTACTCTGTGTCTCCACTAAGCCCTCAGCTCATGCCCTTATTCCTGGTATAAAATGTCAAGAATGGATGGCTAACTAGAACTATGGATCAATTTTGTTTTTTAAATATAAATCAATCGTGTTTTATTCATTTAGGCATACAAAGCTTCATGATTCACATCACCTGTGAACATATTAGTGGATACAGTAGAAAGAACATGAAGCTTTACAATATAAGAAACAAGTTAATTTGTATTCTGCCATCAGCAAACTCTCTAACATTGGAGAAGTTTCTAAATTCCTTTGATCCTCCGTTCCCTTTTCTGTAAAACAAGGTTAATGATATCTCTCTTTTAAGAGTCGTAGTATGCATATGTTCATTGCAGCACTATTCACAATAGAAAAGATATGAAAACAACATTGGTGGCCATAAACTATGGATTGGATAAAGAAAATGTGGCACACTTATACCATGTGATACTATACAGACATTAAAAAGAACAAGAATCATGTCTTTTGCAGCAACATGAATGCAGCTGGAGGCAATTATCCTAGGCAAATTAACTCGGGAATAGAAAACCAAGTACTGCACGTTCTCATTTATAAGTGAGAGCTAAACATTGGGCACACATCGAAATAAAGATGGCAACAATAGAAACTACAGACTACCGGCCATGCATGGTGGATCACGCCTGTAATCCCAGCACTTTGGGAGGCTGAGGCAGGTGGATCACTTGAGGTCAGGAGTTTGAGACCAGGCCAACATGGCAAAACCCCATCTCTACAAAAATACAAAAATTAGCCTGGCATGGTGGCATGTGACTATAGTCCCAGCTACTTGGGAGGCTGAGGCAGGAGAATCATTTGAACCCAGGAGGCAGAGTTTGCAGTGAGCCGAGATTGCGCCACTGCACTCCAGCCTGGGCAACAGAGAGAGACTCCATCTCAAAAAAAAAAAAAAAAAGAAAAGAAAAGAAAAAGAAGAAAGTATGGACTACCAGAAGAGGAAGGGGGACGAGGGTTGAGGAACTATTGGATATTGTGCTTATTCTCGAGTGACACGATTTTTTGGATCCCAAACCTCAGCATCATGCAATATACTCATGTAACAAACTGCATATATATCCTCTGAATCTAAAATTAAAGTTGATTTAAAATAAAATAAAATAAATTTCATAGATCTCAAGACAGGTAATATTTAACAATATCTAGCAGAAATTCCTTTTTTTACTTACAAAGCATCTTTCTTGGAGAAAAAGAGTTGTAGTGTGGATTAAATGAGATTATGGATGCAAATTACCTGGAACTATGCAAATGGATGGTAGTTACTCCAGAAAAAAGTACATGTTACTGTTCTCTTATATTGTTAGAGATTATATATAAAAAAGGAGAAAGGGTGGCTATCTAAAGAAGTGTTTTCCTCACAAATTCAAGCCATAAGAATAAAACAAGTATTATAACTGCTTGGTGTGTCCCTAAGTGGAAATCTGCAGTTTCATATGAAATATTCAATTCATTTAATGAGGGTTCCCCCTTTTCTACAACCTCACCAGTATTCATTATTGTCTGTCTTTTGGATGAAAACCATTTTAACTGGGGTGAGATAATAGTTCATTGTAGTTTTTTTTTTCATTTCTCTGTTGATTATTGATGTTGAGCACTTTTTCATACACCTGTTGGCCATCTGTATGTCTTCTTTAAGAAATGTCTATTTGAATGCTTTGTCCATTCTTTAACTGGATTATTTGATTTTTCCTATCAGGTCGTTTGAGCTCTTTATATATTCTGGTTATTAACACCTTGTCAGATGGATAGCTTGCAAGCATTTTATCTCATTATGTGAGTTGTCTCTTCAGCTTGTTGATTGTTTTCTTTGCTGTGCAGAAGCTTTTTAACTTGATGTGATCCCATTTGTCCATTTTTGCTTTGTGGCCTGTGCTTTTGAAATATTATTTAATAAATCTTTGTGCAGACAGATGTACTGGAGCATTTCTGAACAGATTTCTGTTATTAGTTTCACAGTTTGAGATATTAGACTTACTTCTTTAATCCATTTTCATTTGATTTTACATACGGTGAGAGATAATGGCTTAGTTTCATTCTACATATGGTGAGGATGTGGAGAAAGAGGAACTCTTGTACACTGTTGTTGGGAATGTAAATTAGTACAGACACTGTAGCGAACAGTATGGGGGATCATCAAAAACAATAAAACATGTGATCCAGCAATCCCACTGATAGGTCCATATCCAAAACAAAGAAAATCAGTATATTGAAGAGATATCTGTACTCCCATGTTAATTGTAGCATTATTCTCAATAGCCAAGATTTAGAATCAATCAAAGTGTCCATCAACACATTCATGAAGAAAACATTCCACATACATTTAGTGGAATGTTATTCGGCCATAAAAATAATAAAATCCTATCATTTGAAACAACATGGACAGAACTGAAGGATATTACATTAAGTGAAATAAGCCTCGCACAGAAAGACAAATTTTGCATGTCCCCACTTATATGTGGGAGCTAAAAATGAAAACAATTGAACTCATGGAGATAGAAAGTAGAATGAGGATTACTAAGGGCTGGGAAGGGTAGCAGTGGGGGTCGCGGTGTGGAGTGGGGACAATTAATGGGTACAAAAATAAAGTTAGATAGAATGAATAAGATCTACGAGTTGATAGCACAACAGTTGACTATAGTCAACAATAATTTATTGTATATTTTAAAATAACTAAAAGAGTGGAATTCGAATGTTCTTAACAGAAAGAAACAATAAATACTTGAGTTAATGAATACCCCTATAACCCTGATGTTATTATTACATATTGTATGCTTGTATCAAAACATCACACATAGTGTTTGAATATATACACTATTATGATGCCGCATATCTACAACTATCTGATCTTTGACAAACCTGAGAAAAACAAGCAATGGGGAAAGGATTCCCTATTTAATAAATGGTGCTGAGAAAACTGGCTAGCCATATGTAGAAAGCTGAAACTGGATCCCTTCCTTACACCTTATACAGAAATCAATTCAAGATGGATTAAAGACTTAAACGTTAGACCTAAAACCATAAAAACCCTAGAAAAAAACCTCGGCATTACCATTCAAGACATAGGCATGGGCAAGGACTTCATGTCTAAAACACCAAAAGCAATGGCAACAAAAGCCAAAATTGACAAATGGGATCTAATTAAACTAAAGAGCTTCTGCACAGCAAAAGAAACTACCATCAGAGTGAACAGGCAACCTACAAAATGGGAGAAAATTTTCGCAACCTACTCATCTGACAAAGGGCTAATATCCAGAATCTACAATGAACTCAAACAAATTTACAAGAAAAAAACAAAGAACCCCATCAACAAGTGGGCGAAGAATATGAACAGACACTTCTCAAAAGAAGACATTTATGCAGCCAAAAAACACATGAAAAAATGCTCACCATCACTGGCCATCAGAGAAATGCAAATCAAAACCACAATGAGATACCATCTCACACCAGTTAGAATGGCAATCATTAAAAAGTCTGGAAACAACAGGTGCTGGAGAGGATGTGGAGAAATAGGAACACTTTGACACTGTTGGTAGGACTGTAAACTAGTTCAACCATTGTGGAAGTCAGTGTGGCGATTCCTCAGGGATCTAGAAATAGAAATACCATTTTACCCAGCCATCCCATTACTGGGTATATACCCAAAAGACTATAAATCATGCTGCTATAAAGACACATGCATATGTATGTTTATTGCGGCACTATTCACAATAGCAAAGACTTGGAACCAACCCAAATGTCCAACAATGATAGACTGGATTAAGAAAATGTGGCACATATACACCATGGAATACTATGCAGCCATAAAAAATGATGAGTTCATGTCCTTTGTAGGGACATGGATGAAATTGGAAATCATCATTCTCAGTAAACTATCGCAAGGACAAAAAACCAAACACCGCATGTTCTCACTCATAGGTGGGAATTGAACAATGAGAATACATGAACACAGGAAGGGGAACATCACACTCTGGGGACTGTTGTGGGGTGGGGGGAGTGGGGAGGGATAGCATTAGGAGATATACCTAATGCTAAATGAGTTAATGGGTGCAACATACCAGCATGGCACATGTATACATATGTAACTAACCTGCACATTGTGCACATGTACCCTAAAACTTAAAGTATAATAATAATAAAATAAAAATAAAAAAGTAATTAAAATTAAAAATAAATAAAAATATCAATGAATTTAATTAAAAACCAACAATGCACTAAGCACTGTGCCAAGTGTGTTCATTAAATAATTTTAAATAATCTATACAGTATTCTGACTTTTAATATAAGGAAACCAAGGTTCTGGAGTGTGAATCTGCTGGCTGTTACTCCAAAAGTTCTAAAGTAGGGACTCAAGGCCAACTCTGTCTGACCCCAAGGCTCACTGAATAATGGTGCCTTTGAGTTAGGAAATTAAAGCAGTCCTCCTCCAAACTTAACTGGCCAATTTAGGAAACACTGAATAGCTAGTATGTGCAAGGTACTGCGCCAGGTGCAATCAGAGATATATATGATTAAAACATGGCTTCTGATCTATGTAATCATGACTATAATTCAAGGTAGGTCATTGTTAAATACTATATGACCGGTATAAACAAAATATTTTGAGATTTGAATCAAAAGACAATTTCTGATGGTTAGGTTTTCAAATTTCTTAACTCAGGTGCATGTGAGTTACAGAGGTTTTTGTGGCCTGGCTTAGGGATTTAACTGCCATAATACTGTGTGTATGATAGGATACATTGTCAGTCCTAGTGCAGCCAACCTACAAATAAAAGGTTAAAATACAACCATCTGTAAGTTAGGAGGTGTAAGGGTTGTGTTTGAGATGGCTGCCTGCCTGATGCTTCAAAAGAAACTAGGGGGATAAATGGAAAGGATTTCCTATTCAGGAAAGGTGTGTTTAAATTCTTGCTTCGTCACTTTTAGGTGCATGACTTCTGGCGAATCACCTAAACTTTCTGAGCTGCAGTTTCCACGGGTGTAAAATAAAGTAGTGGTTATGGAAGTGCATTGTAAAGGATATAAATGTGACACAACCTAGTTAATGTATTGATTTTTATTATAGATATATGTGGCATCTTCCCCTTTTCATTTGCATAAATATCCATTTTGTGTGAGTCTGGCAGCCAGTGTCTTAAAGTTGTTAAACGGGGCAAAGCATTTTAAGGAGGTTGTTCCTTCTTACTTGGTAAATAAAACAGTGACCTTTAGTGAGTAGCTACTCTACTCCAGGCACTTAGCCCTCAGGAAATATACAATCTCATTAAGGTAAGAAGATACCTGTAGATATCATTAGAGCTAATGCTTACTGAGTTTATAGTATGTACAAGGAATCATTTTAAGTACTTTATATATGTTGTCCAGACAAACTATTACAATATTCCTGTATGTTGATAATACAATCTTCATCTTACAGATGAGAAAATTTAAGGTATAGAGAAGTTAAATAATCTACTTGAGGTTAGACATGCAATAAGCAAGAACCTGAAACTCAAACTCAGACGGTTTGGCAAAACCAGGCTCATACCTGTTCCCCCATGTGAACAGAGAAGAAACAATACCAGGCTGTTTGCCAAGAGGTGTATTAGTGAGCTAGATAATACATTTCAAGTGCTGCAGGAATGCAGATCCCAAAGAGGCTCAAGAAGATGAAACTTCAAGGCCACAAGCCTTCTCCCTCAGTTGAGTGTAGATTTCAGCTGTCAGAATACATTTCTTTCCTTAAACAGATCCCGGGCTTTCTAGGGATCTTTCAGTCTTTGACAATGGGGTTATATCCTTGCATTTTATGTCACCCCCTGCATTTCTTCTTAAGATTAGAAAATAAAATAGTAAGGGTAGAATAGTCTAGTCACCATCCTCCTTCGTATTGAGCTAATATTATGTCTTATCCAGAGTTTGAATATTACCCAGGAGGTTACTGCGCACATTAAGTGCACTTGATGTCAATAGAGGAGTAAGAAACCCTGAATGACTGTTTTATTGGCAACTTTCAATGACTCGGATCTTCTTCTGTGAGCAGCTTTTCTGTTGTGAATATCAGTGGCTCAAAGGGTAGGGTTTCTTTAATGAAGAATTAAGTGCTTAATGGTGGAGTGTCTAATTACTTATTTACTAATTGCTGTTACATAATCTATTAGTCTGTTCACACACTGCTGATAAAGACATACTCGAGACTGGGCAATTAACAAAGAAAAGAGGTTTAATGGAGAACTCACATTTCCATATGGCTGGGGAGGCCTCACGCTCATGGTGGAAGGCAAGGAGAAGCAAGTCACATCTTAGTGGACAGCCACAGGAGAACAGAGAGAGCTTCTGCAGGGAAATTCCCATTTTTAAAACCATCAGATCTCATGAGACTCATTCACTCTCACAAGAACAGTGCAGAAAACCCCTGCCCCCATAATTCAATTACCTCCAACTGGGTTCCTCCCATGACAAATGGGAATTGTGGGAGTTACAATTCAAGATGAGATTTGGGTGGGGACACAGCCAATCCATATCATTCTGCCCCTGGCCCCTCACAAATATTATGTCCTCACATTTCAAAACCAATCATCCCTTTCCAACAGTCTCCCAAAGTCTTAACTCATTTCAGCATTTACTCAAAAGTCCACAGTCCAACATCTCATCTGAGACAAGGCAAGTCCCTTCTGACTATGAGCCTGTAAAATCAAAAGCAAGTTAGTTACTTCCTAGATACAATGAGGGTACAGGGATTGGGTAAATATAGCTATTCCAAATGAGAGAAATTCACCAAAACGAAGGGGCTACAAGACCCAGGAAAGTCCAAAATCTAGCAGGGCAGTCAAATCTTAAAGCTCCAAAATGATCTCCTCTGACTCCATGTCTCGCATTTGGGTCATGCTGATGCAAGAGGTGGTTTCCCATGGTCTTGGGCAGCTCTGCCTCTGTGGCTTTTCAAGGTACAGCCTAATTTCCAGCTGATTTCACTGGCTGGTGATGAGTGTCTGTGGCTCTGCCAGGCAAAGAGTGCAAGCTGTCAGTGGATCCACAATTCTGGGATCTGGAGGACAGTGGCCCTCTTCTCACAGCTCCACTAGGTGGTGCCCCAGTGGGGAACTCTATGTGGGGGCTCTGACCCCACGTTTTCCTTCCACACTGCCCTAGCAAAGGTTCTCCATGACAGCCCTACTCCTGCTGCAAACTACTGCCTGGACATCCAGGTGTTTCCATACATCTTCTGGAATCCAGGAGGAGGTTCCCAAACTTCAATTCTTGACTTCTGTGCACCCACAGGCTCAACACCACATGGAAGCTTCCAAGGCTTGGGGCTTGAACCCTCCAAAGCCACAGCCTGCTCTGTACCTTGGCCCCTTTTAGTCATGGCTGGAGTGGCTGGGATGCAGGGCACCAAGTCCCTAGACTGCACATAGCACGAGGACCCTGAGCCCAGTCCACAGAACCACTTTCTCCTCCTAGGCCTCCAGGCCTGTGATGGAAGGGGCTGCCGTGAAGACCTCTGACATGCTCTGGAAACATTTTCCTCATTGTCTTGCAGATTAACTTTCAGCTCTTCGTTACTTATTCAAAGTAATGCAGCAGGCTTGAATTTCTCCTCAGAAAATAGAATTTTATTTTCTATCACATTGTCAGACTGCAAATTTTCTTAACTTTTATGCTCTGTTTCCCTTTTAAAACTGAATGCCTTTAACAGTACCCAAGTCAAATCTTGAATGCTTTGCTGCTAGAATTTCTTCCACCTGATACCCTAAATCATCTCTCTCAAGTTCAAAGTTTTACAAATCTTTAGGGCAGGGGCAAAATGTGACCAGTCTCTCTGCTAAAACATAACAAGAGTCACCTATGCTCCAGTTCCCAACAAGTTCCTCAACTCCATCTGAAATCACCTCAGCCTCGACCTTAGTGTTCATATCACTATCAGCATTTTTGTCAAAGCCATTCAACTAGTCTCTAGGAAGTTCCAAACTTTCCCACGTTTTCCTGTCTTCTTCTGAGCCCTCCAAACTGCTTCAACCTCTGCCTGTTACCCAGTTCCAAAGTTGCTTCCACATTTTTGGGTATATTTTCAGCCACACCCCACTCTACTGGTACCAATTTATTGTATTAGTCCATTTTCACACTGCTGATAAAGACATATATGAGACTGGGCAATCTACAAAGGAAAGAGGTTTAATTGGACTTACAGTTTCACATGGCTGGAGAAGGCTCACAATCATGGCGGATGGCAAGAAGGAGCAAGTCACATCTTACATGGATGGTGGCAGGCAAAGAAAGAGCTTGTGCAGGAAAATTCCTATTTGCAAAACTATCGATCTCATGATACTTATTCACTATCATGAGAACAACACAGGAAAGATCTGCCCCCATAATTCAATCACCTCCCACTGAGCTCCTCTCACAACATGTGGGAATTGTGGGAGTTACAATTCAAGATAGGATTTGTATGGGTACACAGCCAAACCATATCACATAACATAGACATAAATATCAATACTCAAACAGATTATAGCCAGATTTCTAAAGACAGGAGTGACCTTAAAGTATGTGGAATATGGCTGTCTAGATCAGGATATCTAATGGGATAACAATACGCAGTTTGCTTCTACCTACCTGCTGCCAAGCTAGCATGTCCCATATTAGTACACCTCTTAAGGGATAAAATAACATAACCAAAGCACTCCATTAAAATGAAAATACAGTCATGTGTTGCTTAAAAATGGGGATACATTCTCAAGAAATGTATCCTTTAGCAATTTCATCATTGTGCCAACATCATAGAATGTGTTTACATAAACCTATGTGGTACAGCCTACACCCACGCTATATACATAGCCTATTGCTCCTAGGCTACAGACCTGTACAGTATATGACTGTACTGAGTACTATAGGGAATTGTAACACAATGGTAAGTACTTGCATATATAAACATATCTAAGTATAGAAAAAGTACAGTAAAAACAGATTATTATAAACATATAGGAGCACCGTCATATATGTAGTTCATCATTTATTGAAATGTCATTATGTGGTACATGACTGTAAATTAAACCTTTGATTCAGAAGAGTATCTGTTAGTTAGAAGTTATCTAGCTGGATAGGGCTTGTAACAAAGAACAAAGTGGGTACGTTTTGTTTAGATTGAGGCATTTTGAAAAAGCCTGGAAAGGACTTATGCCAATATCATGAACGGATGAAAAACAACATAATAATGCTAAGAGAGCCATTTTTCACAGCTGTGCCTCCCCAGCACCATGGCCCGTGGTCTTGGCTCTTCAAGCTCCACTATCACCCTTGCCAAAGACGCTGACACAGGTGGAACCCAATTTTGGACCCCTTGCATGGGGTCTGGCATGCCTCAGAAAAGCCAGAGCACTTGCTGGCATGAGTGACTCTTGCAGAAGTATAGAATAGTGGTTCAGAGTGTCAACTTTGGAATAAAAAATAGAATGCATCTGAGGCACTGTTTTGCAATTTTCTATGGGTTTGGTCTTGTGCAACTTAGTTAATTTATCAAGGCCTTTTATCTAATGAGGTCAATAATCATAGTAGCTATTTCATTAAGTCATTGTGAGAATTAAATTAATTAACTCATGTAAAGCACTAAGCACAGTGCCTGGAACATAAAAATGCCCAATAATTGTTGCTATGATGATAATGACAACTGATAATTACAATGACAATAAACACAAGGAAAGCTACAGTTTTAGACCTTAGACCTTCTGTTTATCAGTTAACTTGTTTTGTGCGCAACTCAAATACTGTGTTATTTGGGGGCCACCGATGAATGCTAGGGTAGCATTTCACATCATGTACTTTATTCTTTGTAGTTCATATTTAAGATCCATTCAGATCTATGTTCTTAACTGATTTTGTATATTCCTTAAAGTCAGTTGTTCATTTAACAATTTTTAGAGTACATTTTGTGTGTTTTAAATTTCAGGGATACAGTGGTAAATAAGATTGATGCAATTTTAGAGCTTGCAGTCTGATAAGTTATGTCTATTTATTTTACTCTGTAGTACATAAAGGAAATATGATAAATGAGTATGCTTAACAAGAAATCTGAATTCATTTAATGTTGGTGGTAACCATGACAATGTAATTTCATTTATAACTATGTGAATTAAAGAGATTTACAAACTCCTGAAGTCTCACAGCCAGTAAGTGTCAAAGCGGGGACTCCACTCAGAGAGTGCTTTTAATTATGTCTTACAACGTTTTTAGTTTTGTAGTGTAAGAAATAGTGTTAAACATAAGAGTAAATCTCCCAACAATCAGAAATGTGCAACAAGACAGTGAAGTAATGAGTTTCCCTTTACCAAAGGTTTTTAACTGGAAGCTGGAATTCTATAAGGGGAAGTGGTTATTAAATTAGGAGAAGATGTGGACAAGGTAGCCCTTGTAGAACCTTTCAAATCTAAAATAGGCATTTCTCCCCATATGTCCCTTCATTTAACAAACTCCTTTTTATATTTTAAATTTTAGCTTAAGCAAGACATTACTTAAGTACTATTTTGCTGCCCCTTCTATTTGCTTCCTATATTTTCTCATTAGACATGACACAATGTCAATTTTGTTCACTAAATATATTCATATATTTAAAGCTGATTTTGATTAAAAATGCTGAAAACATTGATTAAACATATATTGATACATAAAGTGGAGAAATTAATTTAATTACAATGTAAATCACTGTCATTTTTCTAGTTTCCATGTTGGGCTGTTAATTCTCAGGTATTTTCTATATAATTAGAAAAGCAAAAGAGGACCATACATGGACTAATAAGAGTGTGTTACAAAACAAGGATTATGTATTAAAATCTGTACGAGGTTCAGCACCAGCTTGTGAATTATGTTATTAACAACTCAAATTCTACTGGTCTTTGTTTCTACCAACACTCATAGGACCTCAGTCAATGCAAATAATTTTCTTACTATCTCTGGATTTTTCAGAGGATGCCTTGTATGCCTGAAAATTAAGTTTAATTTTATGTGATTTCAACATATTTCTGACATTTTGCCTTAACTTGGGTCCCTGGGACTTTAACTACCTGTTGTTAAAGAATATACATATGACCTAGAGTTGAATTAAAGCATTTAAAATTATTCCACCATTATTTTCTACTGCTGTTAACAGTTCCTGTGAGGATTCCTGAGAGTGGAATACAGCCTTGTGTGTCATCTAATTGTCAGCTCCACTCCCTGTCTTCCTTGCGTGGTGATTACATGACTAAGAGAGCAAGGATCTATGAAAGCATTCATTTTCAGTGACTGTGGTAGTATCTGATTAGGCAGGCTTACGGTATAGAATAATCAATTCAAAAGGCAGAAAACTCATCTAGGACTCTGTGTGAGTGTGAATTTTTGCACTGCCTTGCAAAACTAAGAACACTCAAGGAAACCAAATTATTAATGCATGACAGGCTCAAACTTTTCTAGCCATAAAAATGTACTGTAGTCTAGGGAAACTATCTAAAATTTATAAAGAATCTCAAAAATACCTACAGATAAGATTATAATCCATGATGGTAAACCAGACATTTTACCACCAAAATGAGGAACATGGCAAGGATGTCCCTGTCACCATTCCTTTTCAATATTGTGCAGCAAATCTTAGCTAATGCAAGAGGACAAGAAAAAAGAAGTAAAAGATAAACAGATTGAGAAGGAAGCAATAAAGTTGTTATTGTTCACAGATGACATGATTGCCTATGTAGAAATTTTTTTTAAAAATTGACAAAGTTGACTATCCTGGAACTAATAAGCAATTATAACAGGATTGCATGATGCAAAGTTAATGTACAAAATCCATTCAATTGCTTTTATATATATAAGTAATAAAAAATATACACCTCTTATGTACCCCCAAAATTTAAAACTAAAAAATTAAGAGAAAAGAACAATTGGAATCCAAAATTAAATACACAATACCATGTGAATTAGCATCTCCCAAAATGAAATACTTAGGTATAAATGTAACAAAATATGCAAATAAAAATCTGCTTTTCTGTTGATATTTTATGTAACATTAGAATTGCATTTCTTTGGAAAATTCTCTGTATAAATAAAATTAGGACTCTGTGTAAGGAAGGAGATAAGATATTGGGCAGACATTTCCTGACTATGGGATAATAGCTCTCTTCTGGTGTTGGTTCTGTCATTGCTTTTTCACATTACACATTTTTACATCATGTTTGGGATTTTTCCTGTACTTCTTGGAAATCCATTCTCTTCTATCTTCCTATGTCTATGTAGTGGGAATACTTTAACAAGGAATTGTTAAATGCAATGTCACACGACAGTTGTTGGTACTACCAACAGTATATCTTTGCATATGAAATACACTTTAGTTGAGGTTTATGCTGCTATATAACCCGTTTTCTTGTAGTTAACATTTGTTTTGTTTTGGCCACCCAGAAACCACTTTTCTTTATTTAAATATACTAATTTTAATTTCACACTATGTACTTCAGGTGAAACTAAGTATAATACAAGCTCTATGGATACAAATTTATGGCATAAGCCTACAACAATCACATTCTATTCCTCTGTCTATAGTTTTTGATTCAGGATTGAGTTTATGACAAAGATCAAGCTAATTAGAGACAATGAGACTCAATTCCTGGACTTTTGTTGGTCCTATCAAGAAATCAGATGTATTAGTCTGTTCTCATGCTGCTAATAAACACATATCCAAGGCTGGATGATTTATAAAGGAAAGAGGTACAACGGCCTCACAGTTCCACATGGCTGGGGAGACCTCACAAACATGGCAGAAGGTGAAGGAAGAGCGAAGTCCAGTCTTACATGATGGCAGTCAAGAGAGCATGTGCAGGGTAACTCCCCTTTATAAAACCATCAGATCTTACGAGGCTTATTCACTATCACAAGAACAGCACTGGAAAAGCTCACTCCCATGATTCAATTGCTTCCCACCAGGTCCCTCCCATGACACATGGAGTTTTACAATTCAAAGTGAGTTTTGGGTAAGGACACAGAGCCAAAGCATTTCATCAGACATTCTTTTTATGTTGGAATTGGTTTAGAGTTAGCATAGTCCTCTAATTACTATGAGAAAAGAATCTGTAAGGACTGAAACCAACCCAGAGAAAGTGTACCAAAGCAATACACAGAAAGAAACAGGATTGTTTAACATTTATTTGGTCCTCTATATCAAGCCATGCTTGAAACAAAGACTTACTCCCAGATATTATTTAGTAACATGAGGCAATAAATTCTTTTGATTAAGCCAGTTTATTTGAGCTCCTCTTCACTTGTGAGAAAAAGAGTTGTAACTTACTCAAAAGTTTACTTTATGAATTCTACCTATTTGGAATTTCTGGACATTGGGTTAACATTCATCAAACATTCATTTATGCTCAAAGTTGGAGGTGGGAGATCCTGATACAAGTTTGCTTGATATTAAGATTTGAAAATGTGTCTGCAGGATAAACCAGTAAGTATTTCATATTACAAAATAATATTTTTCCATTTTAACAAGATTATTTTATAGGTAAAATGGCTTACTCTGCTTGGTATGTTAAGAGTAACTAATGGAAGCATTTTAACTAAAGGGAGGAGAAAAACTTCACAACATTTTTCACCTTCTGTTGGTTTGTATCCATAAATTGCTGGACAAGAAAGAGATTTGTTACCCATGTGGCATTTGCCTATCCCTGGTCAATTTGGCTGTGATTAGGCGATTCATGATGATTCAGTGTCATTCACAGGAAACATTTGCTTTCATTCAAGTACAGTTTAGGGTCATATCACACTGCAGAATACTATGAACTGAGTATTTTTTTCTTACACAGTAACTAATTTTTGCAGCTGTTCAGTATAATACATTTTGTTTCAGTTTATATAGTAGGGAACTAAAACCCATAGAGATGCATATACTTGCCTAAAGTTGCCTAGTAAATACAATGGTTGGAATTTCAAAAAAAACTTAAACTATAATGCATGTAAACAACAAGCCATTTGAACTGTGCAAAATGTAGTATCATACAAAGAGAGTGGCTATAGCATCTGAGAACCTAATTCCCTTTACCCAAAAGAAATCTACATTAATATTTTCATATATAATCTCAGAAACACTCTATATCTATGCAGACTTTTTTTCTCTTATTAACTTTTATTTTAAGTTCAGGAGTACAAGTCCAGGTTTGTTATATAGGTAAACTTGTGTCATGGGAGTCTGTGTACAGTTTATTTCATTACCCAGGTATTAGACCTAGTACCCATTAGTTATTCATCATGATCCTCCCTCTCCTTCCACGCTACACCCTCTGAAAGGACCCAGTGTCTGTTGTTCCCCACTATGTGTCCATGTGTTATCATCATTTAGCTCCCACTTATAAGAGAACATGTGGTATTTGGTTTTCTGTTCCTGTATTAGTGTGCTAACGATAATAAAAATAAAAATCGCATTTTACTTTTTACCAACTCACTTTATTCAGTTGACATTATATTTGAGGAAAAATTTTATAGCAAAATTTCTACAACTATCTACATGCAGGCAGTATTCTTTAAAAAGGCTGCCAAGTATTTCTTTCTACAAAAGTAAAACATATACATTATAACTAATTATTTTAATTAATTTCGTATTTTCCAGGCTTTTAAAGCTGGGGTTTGGAGCTTGAACTCTCTGATTTGAAAGTTATACTGCTTTCTAGTACACAACATTACATCTAACCCTTTAATTTTCCACATAAACAAACTGAACATCTAGTAAGTCAAAGTGCTTTTTTGTTGTTGTTGTTTTGTTTTGTTTTGTTTTTTGTTGTTTGTTTTTTTTCCACAATGCCAGGAGGCATTACTTTCTTCAGGAAGTTTTTTGTTCAGCCTATCATTGTAAAGGTTTTTTTTAAAAAAAACATCTTAGCTAATATTTTAGGCATAAAAATGTAACACTTTTGAAAAAAGGTAAACATGTCTTTATTACAGCATTTATTTGCTAGCATTCTTAATTTAATTTCATTTTAAAATGTTTTAATTTAATAGCTTTTGGGGTAAAAGTGGTTTTTTTTGTTATATGGATGAATTATATAGTGGTGAATTCTGAGATTTTAGTTCACTAGTCATTCAAGTAGTGTACATTATATTTAATATGTAGTTTTGTATCCCTAGCCTCACCCCACCCTCCCCCTTCTGAGTCTTTAAAATCCATTATATGACCCTGTATGTCTTTGCATGCTCATAGCTTAGCTCCCTCTTTTAAGTGAGAACATACAGTTTTTGATTATTCACTCCTGCGTTACCTTACTTAGAATAATGCCCTCCAGCTCCATCCAAGTTGTTACTAAATACATTATTTCACTTCTTTATATGACTGAGTAGTATTCCATGGTGTATATATAGCATATTTTCTTTATCTACTCATTAGTCGATGGGCACTTAGGTTGGTTCCACATTTTGCAATTGTGAATTGCACCACTCTAAACATATGTGTGTAGGTGGCTTTTTCATATAATGACTTATTTTCCTTTGAGTAGATACCCAGAAGTGGAATTGCTGGATCAAATGGTAGAACTACTTTTAGCTCTTCAATGAATCTCCATACTATTTTCCTTAGAGTTTGTACTAATTTACATTTGCATCAGCAGTGTATAAGGGTTCCATTTTCCCCACATCCACACCAACATCGATTGGTTTTTGATTTTTTAATAATGATCATTCTTGCAGGAATAAGGTGGTATCTCATTTTGGTTTTATTATAATTTGCATTTCCCTGATTATTTGTGACAGTGAGCATTATTTTGCATGTTTATTGGCCATTTCTATATCTTCTTTTGAGAAATGTCTATTCATGTCCTTTGCCCACTTTTTGATGGGATTATTTTCTTTTTCTTACTGATTTGTTTCAGTTCCCTGTAGATTCTTGATACTAGGCTTTTTTCGGGATGCATAGTTTGCAAATATTTTCTCGAATTCTTTGAGTTGGCTGTTTACTCTGTCTTTTATGTGCAGAAACTTTTTAGTTTAATTATTTAATTATTACTATTTAATTATTTTTGTTTTTGTTGCTTTTGCTTTTGGAGTCTTACTCATGATTTCTTTTCCAAGGTGGGTATCTAAAAGAGTTTTTCTAACATTGTCATCTAGAATTTTTATGGTTTCAGGTCTTTGATTTAAGCCTTTCATTCATTCTCAGTTAATTTTTGTATACAGTAAGAGATAGGGATCCACTTTCATTATTTTACCTGTGGGTTGCCAGTTTTCCCAGGACCATTTATAAATAGGGTGTCTGCTCCTCAATTTATATTTTTTATGTTTTGTCGAAGATCAGTTAGCTATATGTATTTGGCTTTATTTCTGTGTTCTCTATTTTGTTCTATTGGACCATGTGCCAGTGTTTATACCAGTACCATGCTCTTTTGGTAACTATAGTCTTATAGTATAATTTGAAGTTGGTAATATGATGCCTCTACATTTGTTCTTTTTGCTTAAGATTTCTTTGGCTATTTGAGCTTTTATTTTATTCCATACAATTTTTAGGAATGTTTTTCTAATTCGTGAAAAATGTTGGTATTTTAATGGGAATTACATTTAATCTGTAAATTGCTTTGGGCAGTATGGTTATATTCATAATATTGACTCTTCCAATTCATGAGCATTGAATGTTTCCATATTTTGTGTGGGTGTGTGTCATCTATGACTTATTTGAACAGTGTGCTGTAGTTCTGCCTGTAGAGATCTTTCACCTCCCTGGTTAAAGATATTCCTAGGCAGTTTATTTTTTCTTTGTTGCTGTTGTCAAAGGGATTGAGTTCTTGATTTTATTCTCAGCTTGGTCATTGTTTTTGTATAACAGTGCCACTGACTTGTGTACATTGATTGTGTAACCTGAGACTTTGTTGAATTTGTTTATCAAATCTAAGAGTCTTTGTTCTGGCTAGGACTTCCAGAACTATGTTAAATAGGTGTGGAGAAAGTGGACATCCTTTTCTGATTCCAGTTCTCTGGAAGAATGTTTTAAATATTTTCCCATTCAGTATGATGCTGGCTGTGGGTTTGTCAGGTATGGCTTTCTATTATTTTGAGGTAAGTGCCTTCAATGCTGAGTCTTTTAAGACTTTTTATCATATAGAGATTCTGCAACTAATCAAATGCCTTTTCTGCATCTGTTGAGGTGATGCCATAGTTTTTGCTTTTAATCCTTTGTATGTGATATGTCACATTTATTGACTTATGTATGTTAAGCTATCCCTGCATCCCTGGGATGAAACCCACTTGATCATGGTGTATTATTTTTTTGATGTGCTGTTGAATTTTGTTAACTGGTATTTTGTTGAGAATTTTTGCATCTATGTTCATCAGGAATATTGGTCTGTAGTTTTCTTTTTGTTTTGTTATGTCATTACCTGGTTTTGCTATAAGGGTGATACTCGATTTATAGGACGATTTAGGGAAGAGTTCAGTAATAGTCCATTTCCACACTGCTGTAAAGACATAACTGATACTTAAAAGTTTCAAAATGATCTCCTTTGACTCCATGTCTCACACCTGGGTCATGCTGATGCCAGAGGTGGGTTACCATGATCTTGGGCAGCTCTGCCCTTTTGGCTTAGCAGGGTATAACCTCCCTCCCAGCTGATTTCATGGGCTGGTGTTGAGTGTCTGGCTTTTCCAGGCACACAGTGTAAGCTGTCAGTGAATCTAGCATTCTGGGATCTGGAGGACAGTGGTCCTTTTCTCACAGCTCCACTCAGCAGTGCCTCAGTAGGACTCCGTGTAGGAGCTCCAACCTCTCATCTCCCTTCCACCCTGCCCTAGCAGAGGTTCTGTATGAGAGCCCCACCTCTGCAGTAAAATTCTGCTGGGACATCCAGGCATTTGCATACATCTTCTGAAATCTAGGTGGAGGTTCCCAAACCTCAATTCTTGACTTCTGTGTACCCAGAGGCTTGACACCACATGGAAGCTGCCAAAGCTTGAAGCTTTCATCCTCTGAAGCCACAGGCCTTTTCTACATTGGCCCCTTTCAGCCACAGCTGGAGTGGCTGGGACACAGGGCACCATTCCCTAGGCTGTACACATCATGGAGACCCTGGGCCCAGCCTATAAAACCACATTTTCCTCCTAGGCTTTAGGTCCTGTAATGGGAGGGGTAGCTGTGGAGACCTCTGACATGCTCTGAAGACATTTTCCTCATTGTCTTGGAGATTAATATATAGTTTCTCATTACATATGCAAATTAATGCAGCAGGCTTGTATTTCTCCTCAGAAAATGGGACTTTCTTTTCTATTGCATTGTCAGGCTGCAATTTTTTGGAATTTTTATGCTCTGCTTTCTTCATAAAACTGAATGCCTTTAACAGCACCCAAGTCACCTCTTGAATGCTTTGCTGCTTAGAAATTTCTTCTGGCAGATACCCTAAATCATCTCTCTCATGTTCAAAGTTCCACAAATCTCTAGAGCAGGGGCAAAATGCCACCAGTCTCTCTTCTAAAACATAACAAGAGTCACCTTTGCTCCAGTTCCCAACAATTTCCTCATCTCCATCTGAAACCCCCTCGCCCTGGATCTTATTGTTCATATCACTATCAGCATTTTTTGTCAAAGCCATTTTGACATGTGAGAAGTTCTAAATTTTCTCACATTTTCCGGTCTTTTTCTGAGCCTCTAATCTGTTTCGACTTCTGCCTGTTACCCAGTTCCAAAGTCATTTTCACATTTTGGGGTATATTTTCAGCAATATCCCACTCTAGTGGTACCAATTTACTGTATTAATCTGTTTTCATGCTGCTGATAGAGACATACCTGAGACTGGGCAATTTACAAAAGAAAGAGGTTTAATGGACTTACAATTACACATGGCTGGGGAAACATCACAATCATGGTGGAAGGAAAGGAGGAGCAAGTCTCATTTTACATAAATGGCAGGACACAAAGAGAGAGAGCTTGTGCAGGGTAACTTTTCTTTTTAAAAACATCAGATCTCATGAGACTCATTATCATGAGAACAGCACAGAAAAGACTTGTCCCCATGATTCAATCACCTCCCATTGGTTCCCTCCCACAACAGGTGGAAATTCAATGTAAGATTTGGGTGGGGACACAGCCAAACGATATCAGTTCCCTTTCTCTCAATCTTTTGAAATGGTTTCACTAGGATTGGTAACAATTTTTCTCTGAATGTCTGGTACAGTTCAGCTGTGAATCCATCTGGTCCTGAGCTTTTATTATGTTGGCCATTTTTAAATTATGAATTCAATCTTGCTGCTTGTTATTTGTTCAGGTTTCTATTTCTTCCCGATTTAATCTAGGAGGGTTGTACTTTTTCAGGAATTTATCTAGTTTCTCTAAGTTTTCTGGTTTGTGCACATAAAAGTGTTCATAGTAGTGTCAGGTAATCTTTTGTATTTCTGTAGTGTCAGTTGTAATGTCTCCAGTCTCATTTCTAATTGAGCTTATTTGGATCCTCTCTCTTTTTCTTGGCTCATCTAGCTAAGGGTCTATCAATTTTATTTATTTTTTAAGTTCAAGTAACCAGCTTTCTAATCCGCTGATCTTTTGTATTCTTTTGTTTTAATGTCATCTAGCTCTGCTCTGATTTTTGTTATTTCTTTTCTTCTGCTTGCTTTGGGTTTAGTTTGTTTTTATTTCACTAGTTTCTTGAGGTGTGACATTAGGTTGTCAGTTTGTGTTCTTTGAGACTTTTTGATGCAGGCATTTAGTGCTATAGACTTTCCTATTAAACACTGCTTTTTCTGTATCCCACAGTTATTGAAAACTTGAGCTATTAATATCATTCAATTTAAGGAATTTTTTTGTTTTTTGAGATGGAGTCTCGCTGTGTCACCCAGGCTGGAGTGCAGTGGTGCGATTTCGGCTCACTGCAAGCTCCACCTCCCAGGTTCACGTCATTCTCCTGCCTCAGCCTCGCGAGTAGCTGGGACTACAGGTGCCCGCCACCACGCCAGGCTAAGTTTTTGTACTTTTAGTACAGACGGGATTTCACCATGTTAGCCAGGATGGTCTTGATCTCCTGACCTCAAGATCTGCCCGCCTCGGCCTCCCAAAGTGCTGGGATTACAGGCGTGAGCCACCGTTCCCAGCCCATCATGTAGATTTTAAGCCCAGCATGCACTAAGTATCTGTCCTAATGCCCTCCTTCTCCTGGCCCCTCACCCCCTGACAGGTGTGTGTTGTTCCCCTCCCTGTGTCCATGTGTTCTCATTGTTCAACTTCCACTTATGAGTGAGAACACTGGGTGTGTGGTTTTAAAGTTTACTGAGACTTGTTTTGTGGTTCTTTCATATGGTCTATCTTGGAGATTGTTCCATGTGCTGATGAGAAGAATGTATATTCTGGTTTTATTTTTAACTTAGAAATCATTTGGGAGAAGATTATTTAATTCCAAAGTATTTGTATAATTTTGAAGGTCCCTTCTAGAGTTGATTTCTATCTTGATTTCACTATGGTGTTAGAGGATATTTGCCATGATTTTGATTTTTTTAAAGTTCCAGGATACATGTGCAGAACGTGCAGGTTTGTTACATAGGAATACATGTGCCACGGTGGTTTGCTACACCTATCAACTCGTCATATAGCTTTAATGCTTATGGTTATGTATAGCCTAATTCGGTTCTTCATGCTTTCAGGGATAAAGACTCTATAAGATTTCCTTAGTTCCAGAGAATCTTTGTATGTTGAATTTCTCATATGCTGGTTGTAGTAGCAATATGTTTGATGTGTGAGCAAGTTTATTGTCTCCTATGGCGTTGGAATGGTAGAGGTCTCTTGAAGTTTGTCTCATTTCCTCATGCTGTGCATTTATTTATTTATTTATTTATTTATCTATCTATGTGTTTAGCCCAGTATATTATTTACTGGTTTGATGGTTCAGGCTTCAGGTCAGTAGGGACGTGTCCCTAGGTAGGGACCAGTTGTGGCTAAAGCAAGTGAGTGAATACAATACTTGATGGTGGGCAGAGGTCCCAGCCTTGACAGAGTGGCTGGAGGAGCTTTCATTGAGTCACATTAAGGTCTTATCAGAAAAATGGATTGAAGTCACCTTAGCTCCTCTGCCTGGTAAACAGGAAAGCTACATGCTTCTCAGACACACTCCTATCCCAGTGCTCTGGCTATTCATATCAAACAGGCACCTATTTTCATCTGTAGAAATGTTCATATTTCAAGTGGGGAGGAATTGTGACTCTGTCTCTCATGCAAGCCTGAACCTGGAGGGTGCTCCTCCTGTGGCAATGCAGTCACCGTGTTGTGTTCCAGAAAATCTTTCTATAGTTGCACCTGTGCCAAGCCCCTGTGAGAGACGCCAAAAATGTGCCTTTGTTGGTAGATAAGGGACAATAGACCTTCCCTTATCCAAGACTCTTGTGCATATGAAGACATATGCACAAGGGCTGTCTGACTGTTGGGTTAGAGCTGAATATTTTTCCTGCTGAGCCTAGCACTGCAACCGTGCCTCTGCTGGAAGAAACTTCCCACCAGTGGAAAGACCTGGTGCTCAAGGCCTGACATCATGATTCTTTTTTCCCAAGAATTATTCCCTTTATTTGGTGTACTCCTCTTCCCCTAGAAGTGGGAGTTGTTAGAAGCCAGAATACAGTGAGTGCTGTTGCTCCTCTGGGTCTAGCCACCCAGTTAAGTTGCCTCACTCCAGAATTGTGCTAGGGAGTGTCTGCAAGAGATCTGGCTATGTGACCCGTCCTCAAGTCTCCCAGCAGGGGATGGAAGCATCAGCTTTAATTGGGGTGTCAGGGGAGTAATGTAGACTCTGTGAGATTCCTTGGTTATAGATGGCCCTGTGTTGGTTTTCTTGAACACAAGTTATAATAGTAATAAACTGGTCACATGAACAGACTCCGGAACCTCTGGTTATCCAGAGTGGTAAAACTAGTGGTGATAGCTGAGGTCACACAGCCATTTTCTTCTTTCTGGGTTCAGTGTTATTCTACCAGGAGATGCTGCAATGGACTGTGTTGGTTGGCCTCCAGCCAGAAGGTTGTGCTTCTAATAGAGCAACAGCTATGGTAGTAGCAGTGAGATTTTTGCTTGCCTTATGTTGCTTGAGGAGTCACTCTGGTTTCTCAGGCAATGGGCAGGGTCATATAGCTCCCCAACATTATGTCCTTTGTTCTAAGCTACCAGGGTGAGTAGCAGGGCAAACCCAGGTGGGGGCTGGGTCAGGAGGATTTGTGCTCTGACTCTACATGTCCAGGGCAAGAAGCAGGCCCATAGGTGTCAGGGGACAGTGAGAGCTCTCAGGCCACTGAGTTAATGTTCCAGAAAGGAATGTTGCTGCCTCTGCTGCACAAAAGACTTTGTGCAGGGATTGGGGAGTGCCAGGCAGCAGTAAATCCCACACAGATCCCGCAAACTTGCTGAGGCAAACCCCACTCCCACAGTGTTCCACTAGAAGCAGCGAGCTAAGTTCCAGGCAGCCTGCATTCAGAACTCACAACTGCCCCAGGTCATAAGCTTTCCCTGTGGAGAAAGCAACCATGGCTTTTAGGCCATTGCCCTGCCACAATCCACCTCATCTGCCTACAAAGCCAGATGCCTGACTTCTGCATTCCTGGCTGCAGCCCACATTTTACTCACTGCTACCCCAGCTCCTGGCCAAAGGAGTTCAACCCCCTTTGTCATTACATTGTGAAACCCAGTTAGGGGTGTGTTTCAACCTGTGACCACTGCTTGAGCTATTTGGCTGACCTCCACAAACTCCCCTATGAAAACAATAAGGAATGTCTTCCCTCACTCCATACTGGACACTGGGAGTGTACACATGGGTCTTTCTGATACTGCTTCCACTTTTATATCTCACGACACCCTCCCAAGTTGGTTCCAGCATTGTGTAGAAGTAAGTATTTCCCCGTGGCCTGGACTTTCAAGCTCTCCATTGGTTTGAATCCCAGAGGCAGTCTCTTCCCCTCTTCACACTCTGGGGACTCACAGGTCTTTGGCTAATTCACTGTGTAGCTGCAGCCTGCTACTTTCCTTCAGAGAGTCTGAATTCCCTTGGTTGTCCTGTTCAATTCCTGTATCACTTCTTGAAAATAGTTCACAGAGTGAATCTGTACAAACTGTTTTCCCCTTCCCAGTAGAAGTGGTATGCTAGCATTGCCTCTTATCTGCCATTTTGGAAACAAAAAGCTACATTCCTCATCTTAAAAAAGTTTTGTGTCAGTGGCCTTGTCTCTGGGGAGCTTACAGGCAGTTAGGTTGGGTAACATGCACGCACTTCAAGAGTCCAGCATGGACTAAGGGAATACATTCCTTATTGTTTTTCACAGGGAGCCTTGCGAAGATCAGCCAAATAGCTCAGTCAGTGTTCCCAGGTGGAAAGATACCCCAGCTGCATTTCAGACTGCCATATGTTGGCAAATTTTCTTTTTGATGGTTTATTCAGTACTGTAGAAGAATTAAAAAATCAATTTCCTATGTTTATTTTCTCATGCTATTTTGGCAACATGCAAAGTTTAAGAAGACGGTAATGAAAAACTGGAAACTCTAAAAATCAGAGCACCACTACTCCTCCAAAGGAACACAGCTCTTCACCAGCAATGGAACAAAGCTGGATGGAGAATGGCTTTGACGAGTTGAGATAAGAAGGCTTCAGATGATCAAACTACTCCGAGCTAAAGGAGGAAGTTTGAACCCATGGCATAGAAGTTAAAAACCTTGAAAAAAAAATTAGACGAATAGCTAACTAGAATAACCAATGCAGAGAAGTCCGTAAAGGACCCGATGGAGCTGAAAACCACGGCACCAGAACTAGATGTCGAATGCACAAGCCTCAGTAACCTATGCGATCAACTGGAAGAAAGGGTATCAGTGATGGAAGATCAAATGAATGAAATGAAGTGAGAAGAGAACTTTAGAGAAAAAAGAATAAAAAGAAACGAACAAAGCCTCCAAGAAATATGGGACTATGTGAAAAGACCAAATCTACATCTGATTGGTGTACCTGAAAGTGACGGGGAGAATAGACCCAAGTTGGAAAACACTCTGTAGGATATTATCCAGGAGAACTTCCCCAATCTAGCAAGGCAGGCCAACATTCAAATTCAGGAAACACAGAGAATGCCACAAAGATACTCCTCGAGAAGAGCAACTCCAAGACACATAATTGTCAGATTCACCAAAGTTGAAATGAAGGAAAAAATGTTAAAGGCAGCCAGAGAGAAAGGTCAGGTTACCCACAAGGGGAAGCCCATCAGACTGACAGCAGATCTCTCAGCAGAAACTCTACAAGCCAGAAGAGAGTGCGGGCCAATATTCAACATTCTTAAAGGAAAGAATTTTCAACCCAGAATTTCATATCCAGCCAAACTAAGCTTCATAAGTGAAGGAGAAATAAAATACTTTACAAACAAGCAAATGCTGAGAGATTTTGTCACCACCACTCCTGCCCTAAAAGAGCTCCTGAAGGAAGTACTAAACATGGAAAGGAAGAACCGGTACCAGCCACTGCAAAAACATGCCAAATTGTAAAGACCATTGAGGCTAGGAAGAAATTGCATCAACTAATGAGCAAAATAACCAGCTAGCATCATAATGACAGGATCAAATTCACACATAACAATATTAACTTTAAATGTAAATGGGCTAAATGCTCCAATTAAAAGACACAGACTGGCAAATTGGATAAAGAGTCAAGACCCATCAGTGTGCTGTATTCCGGAAACCCATCTCACGTGCAGAGACACAGATAGGCTCAAAATAAAGGGATGGAGGAAGATCTACCAAGCAAACGGAAAACAAAAAAAGTCAGGGGTTACAACCCTAGTCTCTGATAAAACAGACTTTAAGCCAACAAATATCAAAAAGGACAAAGAAGGCCATTGCATAATGGTAAAGGGATCGATTCAACAAGAAGAGCTAACTGTCCTAAATATATATGCACACAATACAGGAGCACCCAGATTCATAAAGCAAGTCCTTAGAGACCTAGAGACATAGACTCCCACACAATAATAATGGGAGACTTTAACACCCCACTGTCAACACTAGACAGATCAATGAGACAGAGAGTTAACAAGGATATCCAGGAATTGAACTCAGCTCTGCACCAAGAGGACCTAACAGACATCTACAGACCTCTCCACCCCAAATCAACAGAATATACATTTTTTTCAGCACCACACAACACCTATTCCAAAATTGACCACATAGTTGGAAGTAAAGCACTCCTCAGTGAATGTAAAAGAACAGAAATTATAACAAACTGTCTCTCAGACCACAGTGCAATCAAACTAGAACTCAGGATTAAGAAACTCACTCAAAACCACTCAACTACATGGAAACAGAACAACCTGCTCCTGAAGGACTACTGGGTACATAAAGAAATAAAGGCAGAAATAAAGATGTTCTTTGAAACCAATGAGAAGAAAGACATAACATACCAGAATCTCTAGGACACATTCAAAGCAATGTGTAGAGGGAAATTTATAGCACTAAATGCCCACAAGAGAAAGCAGGAAAGACCTAAAATTGACACCCTAACATCACAATAAAAAGACCTAGAGAAGCAAGAGCAAACACATTCAAAAGCTAGCAGAAGGCAAGAAATAACTAAGATCAGAGCAGAACTGAAGGAAATAGAGACACAAAAAATCCTGCAAAAAATCAATGAATCCAGGAGCTGGTTTTTTGAAAAGATCAACAAAATTGATAGACTGCTAGCAAGACTAATAGAGAAGAAAACAGAGAAGACTCGAATAGGCACAATAAAAAATGATAAAGGGGATATCACCACCGATCCCACAGAAGTACAAACTACCATCAGAGAATACTATAAACACCTCTATGCAAATAAACTAGAAAATCTAGAAGGAATGGATAAATTCCTCAAAACATACACCCTCCCAAGACTAAACTAGGAAGAAGTTGAATCTCTGAACAGACCAATAACAGGCTCTGAAATTGAGGCAATAATTAATAGCTAAACAACCAAAAAAAGTCCAGGACCAGATGGATTCACAGCTGAATTCTACCAGAGGTGCAAGGAGGAGCTGGTACCATTCCTTCTGAAACTATTCCAATCAATAGAAAAAGAGGGGATCCTCCCTAACTCATTTTATGAGGCCAGCATCATCCTGATACCAAAGCCTGGCAGAGACACACCAAAAAAGAGAATTTTAGACCAATATCCCTGATGAACATCGATGCAAAAATCCTCAATAAATTACTGGCAAACCAAATCCAGCAGCACATAAAAAAGCTTATCCATCATGATCAAGTGGGCTTCATCCCTGGGGTGCAAGGCGGGTTCAACATACGCAAATCAATAAATGTAATCCAGCATATAAACAGAACCAAAGACAAAAACCACATGATTATCTCAATAGATGCAGAAAAGGCCTTTGACAAAATTCAACAACTCTTCATGCTAAAAGCTCTCAATAAATTAGGTATTGATGGGATGTATCTCAAAATAATAAGAGGTATCTATGACAAACCCACAGCCAATATCATACTGAATGGGCAAAAACTGGAAGCATTCCCTTTGAAAACTGGCACAAGACAGGGATGTCCTCTCTCACCACTCCTATTCAACATAGTGTTGGAAGTTCTGGCCAGGGCAATCAGGCAGGAGAAGGAAATAAAGGGCATTCGATGAGGAAAAGAGGAAGTCGAATTCTCCCTGTTTGCAGATGACATGATTGTATATCTAGAAAACCCCATTGTCTCAGCCCAAAATCTCCTTAAGCTGATAAGCAACTTCAGCAAAGTCTCAGGATACAAAATCTATGTGCAAAAATCACAAGCATTCTTACACACCAATAACAGACAAACAGCCAAACCATGAGTGAACTCCCATTCACAATTGCTTCAAAGAGAATAAAATACCTAGGAATCCAACTTACAAGGGACATGAAGGACCTCTTCAAGGAGAACTACAAACCACTGCTCAATGAAATAAAAGAGGATACAAACAAATGGAAGAACATTCCAGGCTCATGGATAGGAAGAATCAATATCGTGAAAATGGCCATACTGCCCAAGGTAATTTAGAGATTCAATGCCATCCCCATCAAGCTACCAATGACTTTCTTCACAGAATTGGAGAAAACTACTTTAAAGTTCATATGGAACCAAAAAAGAGCCCACATTGCCAAGTCAAACCTAAGCCAAAAGAACAAAGCTGCAGGCATCATGCTACCTGACTTCAAACTATACTACAAGGCTACAGTAACCAAAACAGCATGGTGCTGGAACCAAAACAGACATATACACCAGTGGAACAGAACAGAGCCCTCAGAAATAATGCCACATATCTACGACTATCTGATATTTGACAAACCTGAGAAAAACAAGCAATGGGGAAAGGATTCCCTATTGAATAAATGGTGCTGGGAAAACTGGCTAGCCATATGTAGAAAGCTGAAACTGGATCCCTTCCTTACACCTTATACAAAAATTAATTCAAGATGGATTAAAGACTTACACGTTAGACCTAAAACTATAAAAACCCTAGAAGAAAACCTAGGCAATACCATTCAGGACATAGGCATGGGCAAGGACTTCATGTCTAAAACACCAAAAGCAATGGCAACAAAAGCCAAAATTGACAAACGGGATCTAATTCAGCTAAAGAGCTTCTGCACAGAAAAGAAACTACCATCAGAGTGAACAGGCAACCTACAGAATGGGAGAAAATTTTTGCAATCTACTCATCTGACAAAGGGCTAATATCCAGAATCTACAATGAACTCAAACAAATTTACAAGAAAAGAACAAGCAACCCCATCAAAAAGTGGGTGAAGGATATGAACAGACACTTCTCAAAAGAAGACATTTATGCAGCCAAAAGACACTTGAAAAAATGCTCATCATCACTGGCCATCAGAGAAATGCAAATCAAAACCGCAATGAGATACCCTCTCACACCAGTTAGAATGGTGATCATTAAAAAGTCAGGAAACAACAGGTGCTGGAGAGGATGTAGAGAAATAGGAACTCTTTTAC
This sequence comes from Homo sapiens, assembly GCF_000001405.40. Lineage (NCBI taxonomy): Eukaryota > Metazoa > Chordata > Mammalia > Primates > Hominidae > Homo > Homo sapiens. Next base: position 81,796,599 of record NC_000023.11, read on the forward strand.
ACTGTTCGTGGGACTGTAAACTATTTCAACCATTGTGGAAGTCGGTGTGGCCATTCCTCAGGGATCTAGAACTAGAAATACCATTTGACCCAGCCATCCCATTACTGGGTATATACCCAAAGGACTATAAATCATGCTGCTATAAAGACACATGCACAGGTATGTTTACTGCGGCACTATTCACAATAGCAAAGACTTGGAACCAACCCAATTGTCCAACAATGATAGACCGGATTAAGAAAATGTTGCACATATACACCATGGAATACCATGCAGCCATAAAAAAGGATGAGTTCATGTCCTTTGTAGGAACATGGATGAAGCCGGAAACCATCATTCTCAGCAAACTATCACAAGGACAAAAAACCAAACACCGCATGTTCTCAATCATAGTTGGGAATTGAACAATGAGAACACATGGACACAGGAAGGGGAACATCACACATCGGGGACTGTTGTGGGGTTGGGGGAGGTGGGGAGGGATAGCATTAGGAGGTATACCTAATGCTAAATGATGAGTTAATGGGTGCAGCACACCAACATGGCACACGTATACATATGTAACAAACCTGCACATTGTGCACATGTACCCTAAAACTTAAAGTATAATAAAAAAAAGAAGACAATACTTGCTGAAGTTTTTCCTTTCGTAAGGTTATGTCCTGCGGTATTGAAATACTTTTATACTTAAGGATTAACAACAATGCCTATAGCATGCCTTCCAAATTGCTACTTGGGTCTTTGAAAAATACAAAATATCTCATGTAAAAACATGCAAATTGACCACACAGGTTAATTTACTCTCCACAAAATTGATTTTGTTGTTCCTAGAAATAGTTTGCTATTACATATGAGAGGCCACTTCAGTATTGAAATAACACATTATTATTCACAATAACAATATGTGGTAGGGAGATTCAAGTCAAGAGACATTCTCAGCATTACCTCACACATCTTTCTGCCCTCTTCAAGTTTCCCAAACTACGTTATCATATGACAGAACATTGCTGCATCTTTGCTACCCAAAAGGAGAATGGGGGAAAAAAATTCTGGGAAGTGGAGAAGACATTTGGAAACCCCCAAAGGTGTGAAGAATGATTGTCTATTTGGTAAATAAGGACTACTTTGTTTATTTTTTTATAATTTCAAATTTTATTTTAGATTCAAGGGTTACATGTACAGGTTCACTACATGAGTATATTATATAATGCTTAGGTTCAGGTACAATTGATCCTGTCACCAAGGAAGCAAGCACACTACCCAATAGTTTTTCAACCCTTGCTCTATCCCCAATTTCTCCTTTTTAGAGCCTCCAATGTCTATTCTTCCACCTTTATGTCCATGAGTACCTAATGCTTAGCCCTCACTTATAAGTGAGAACGTGGTATTTGGTTTTCTGTTACTGTGAGAATTTGCTTAGGATAATATCATCTAGCTGCATCCATGTTGCTGGAAAAGATATTATTTTTTCTTTTTAATAGCTTTGTAGTATTCCATAACACATATGTGTGATGGTTAATATTCAGTGTCAACTTGATTGTATTGAAGGATGCAAAGTATTGCTCCTTGGTGTGTCTGTGAGGGTGTTGCCAAAAGAGATTAACATTTGAGTCAGTGGACTGAAAGAGGCAGACCCACCCTCAATCTGGGTGGGCACCATCTAATCAGCTGCCAGTGCAACTAGAATAAAGCAGGCAGAAGTTGAAAAGAGGAGACTTGCTGGGTCTTCCAGCCTTCTTCTTTCTCCCATGCTGGATTCTTCCTGCCCTTGAACATAAGACCCCAAGTTCTTCAGCTTTTGGACTCTTGGACTTACACCAGTGGTTTGCCAGGGGTTCTTGGTCCTCTGTCCACAGGCTGAAGGCTGCACTGTCAGCTTCCCTACTTTTGAGGTTTTGGGACTTGGACTGGCTTCCTTGCTCCTCAGCTTGCAGATGGCCTATTGTGGGACTTCACCATGTGATCCTGTGAGTCAATTCTCCTAATAAACTCCCCTTCTTATATACATACATCCTATTAGTTTTGTCCCTTTAGATAACCCTGACTAACACAGTATCATATTTTCTTTATCTAATCCACCATTGATGGGCACCAAGGTTCATTTCATGTCTTCATTATTAAGAATGGTGCTACAGTGAACATATGAGTGTTTGTTTCTCTTTGGTAGAATTGTTTATTTTCTTTTTAGATATAAACCCAGTAATGAGATTGCTCAGTTAAAATGGTAGCTCTGCTTTGGGTTCTTTGAGAAATCTCCAGACTGCTTTCCACAGTGGCTAAACTAGTTTACTTTCCAACTAACAGTGTGTAAGCATTCTCTTTTCCCCACAGCTTCACCAACATTCTTTTTTTTTTTTTTTTTTTGGCTTTTTAGTAATAGCCATTCTGACTGGTGTGAGATGGGATCACCTTGTGGTTTTGATTTGTATTTCTCTAATAATTAGTGATACTGACCTTTTTTTCATATGTTCGTTGGCCACTTGTGTGTCTTCTTTTGAGAAGTGTCTGTTCAAGTGATTTTCCCATTTTTCAATGAAGTTATTTGTTTTTCACTTATTGATTTAAGTTTCCTATAGATTCTGAGTATTAGGCCTTTGTCCAATGCATAGTTTGTGAATACCTTCTACCATACTGTAGGTTGTCTGTTTGCACTGCTGATAGTTTCTTTTTCTGTAAAGAAGCTCTTTAGTTTAATTAGGTGTCACTTGCCTATTTTAGTTTTTTTCAATTGCCTTTGTAGACTTAGCCAAAAATTCTTTGCCAAGGTTGATGTCAAGAACAGTATTTTCTAGTTTGTCTTCCAGGATTCTTATAGTTTGAGGTCTTACATTTAAATCTTTAATGTATCTTGAGTTAATTTTTATATATAGTGAAAGACAGGGCTCCAGCTTTAATCTGCTGCACATGGCTAGCCAGTTATCCCAGCACTAATTATTGAATAGGGAGTACATTCCCCATTGCTTGTTTTTGTCAGCCTTCTCAAAGATCAGATGGTTTTAGGTGCACAAATTTATTTCTGAGTTTTCTATTGTGTTCCATTATGCTGTGTCTTTGTTTTTGTGCCAACCAAGCTGTTTTGGTTACTACGTCTTTATAGTATAGTTTGAGTCAGGTAGTTTTATTCCTCTGGCTTTATTTTTTTTGCTTAGGATTGCTTTGATTATTCAGGCTTTTTTTGCTCTTTATGTATTTTAGAATATATTTTTCCTAATTCTGTAAAAAATGGCACTGGAGATTTGATTGAAATAGCATTGAAACAGTAAATTGCTTTGGGCAAACAGTATGACCACTTTTACAATATTGGTTCTTCCAATCCATAAGCATGAAATATTTTCCCATTTATTTGTGTCATATTTGATTTATTTCAACACTGTTTTGTAGTTCTCCTTGTAGAGATATTCACCTCTTTTGTTAGCTGTATTACTATGTCTTTCATTTTCTTCGTGGCTATTGTAAGTTTGATTGTTTTTTTGATTTCATTCTCAGCCTGAATGTTGTTGCTGTATAGAAATGCTACTGATTTTTGTACATTGATTTGTTAATCTGAAATTTCACTAAAGTTGTTTATCAATTCTAGGAAACTTCTTGAAAAGCCTTTAGGATTTTCTAGTTATAGAGTCATCATCAGTGAAGATAGATAGTTTGATTTCTTCTTTTTCTATTTGGATGCCTTTTCTTTCTTTCTCTTGCCTGATTTGTTTTATCTAGGACTTCCAGTTCTATGTTGAAGAGGAATGATGAGTGGACAAAATCATGAGCATAGTATTGGAAGTTCTGGCTGGGGTAATCAGGTAAGAGAAAGAAATAAAGGATATTCAAATAGAAAAAGAGAAAGTCAAACTATCTTTGTCTGCAGATGACATAATCCTGGATGGATCAATCACAGCAACTACCACCCCCACAATGTAATTATAAAGTAACTTCACCATCCAAAATTTCAGGAAAAGATAGACGCTCCAGATGATTAAAGATGGCTTACAGTACTCTGGGGCCCAAAAACCAGTGCCACAGAGTTTAGGGTTTTGCTTTGTGAAACAGCCCTAAGTATAAACTTGGTGTCTTTAGCTGAATCCCAGCCACATGCTACCTGATGGTTTTTATGCTCTCTCTATTAAAATAATTTCATTAAAAATAATATCTATGACTATACACTATCTATCTATCTATGGATATATCATATGTTTGTGTGTGTGCATGTGTGTCGGTGGAAACAGAAATTCAGAATAAAGTTATTAAGTTACATATAGTAATGATTAATGTCTTACAGAGAAATAAAGCTACAAGCCTTCAGATGTTGTTTTACAATATTCAACAGAAATAATTTTCATTTCTACAGATAAATATAATATCCAAATTAACAATTTTCTGCCAATTAGGATCTAACTTTACAATCTGGAGCAATAGCAAGTCAAAAAGTTAAGGTCTTAGAGAATCAGATGAGTTTTAATCAAACATATTAGATAATGTTCTAGTGCAGTACTACATGAAGTGTGGCATGTTACTCAGCTTCTAGTCCAGGGAATATTTGTTACTGTCAGTCACAGAATACAAAGTTTTTGCCAGCTCGAAGTCAACTACGACACTAAGTACATTATTTAATTTGTCTAGCATTTTGTCTTCTATTTAATAGCAAGACTTTCTCAATGAAGGAACAGCATGCAAATGTGCATTCTGATGCAAGCGGCTGGTTTTATTACAGATATGTACATTGAGTAGTACTATTCCAGTATGATACTGAAAAAGCACATTGTAATTTTTTCTTTCTTTTGCTTTATTTTCAACTTTTTGAGTAGCTCTTTTTTTTAACAGTAGAAACATCATCTTAGTGAGCTTAGAGTTTCTTTTATTTCTTAGGTTTGTATCAAAATTCTGGGATTGGAGGTGAGCAGGAATTGTATAAAACAATGTATCATTAGGCCTGTTCTCCTTTAGTGTCTCCCATAGCCTACAAGTGCATGGGTACCATTCTATGATTATTTTGCATGTTGAGCAATGGCAAACTTTCAGAAGCTTATCTAAGAACCTTTCTGCTTAGATATAATATACAGATAATTTTTCTTTGAGGGTCTGAAATCTCCTTGGGGTTCTACCCAGAAAAGGAGAAATTGCTTTTCTATGATCTCTGATCTCTTAAGCCTAATCAAATCTCTTAAAACCTAATTAAGTCTATACCACCACCACCATCCATAGCAGGTCTAGAAAATATTGCATGGCATGTAAACCCCCTTTCCTGAGGACTTTCAATGTCTATTATTTCTTTTCTTTACCTTGACTTTCTTCTACAGTGGGAAACTTTTACATAGCTTGAGATTAGATAGCTGTGGTCTTATTCATCAGTAGGCAATCACAAATTCACTGTTCATTTCTTCATGATCTGAATTCTTTCAGCTTTCCCATTGAAAATTTTGAAAATTAAAAGCCAAATATTGTTCTTATATTTAGCTCTGCTGCTATTCCTTCATTTGGTAATTAAAGCAGAATCTTCTAGAAGAGTAAATGAATCCATAGATTAACCAAAATGTACAAGGTTATATGGCAAGGGGAAAATAGCTACTGTTTCAAATTATTCTTCTGTCATGATTTAATTATTAATAGACATGTCTGTTAAAATAATTGATTTTTAAATTTCTGTGACAGGTATTAACAAAATGTTTCCTGTGTTTTTTTGTTTGTTTTTTGTTTTTTTGTTTGTTTGTTTGTTTTTGAGACGTAGTCTTGCTCTTTCGCCCAGGCTGGAGTGCAGTGGCACAATCTCGGCTCACTGCAACCTCCGCCTCCCAGGTTCAAGCAATTCTACTGCCTCAACCTCCCGAGTAGCTGGGATTACAGGCACATGCCGCCATCGCAGGCTAATTTTTTTGTATTTTAGTAGAGACGGGGTTTCACCATGTTGCCCAGGCTAGTCTCGAACTCCAGAGCTCAGGCAATCTGCCTGCCTCAGCCTCCCAAAGTGCTGGGATTACAGGCATGAGCCACCGTGCCTGGCCTCCTGTGGTTTTTTAAAAAACATTTCTACTTTATGACCCATTCTAAACCATGTTCAGGTATTAAATATAGTAAGTAGTTATGGAAAAAAATACCCCTTAAATTGGGCCAAGCGTTGCTTATTCTTATTATGTAAATTCATCAAGTGACTCAAGCCTATGAACTTTGTCAATTTTATTTGAATTTCATAAAAATTTGTGATAATCCTAGACTTACTTTTATAATATTTATTAAGTGTAAAACATTATTAAAGTCCAGAAAATATACAAACATTTGAAGCACTTATAATTCTCAGTGATATGTTATATATTTATTGCACATTGGAGGGGAATTTTTCTTTTTATTTCACTGAGCAGATAAGATAATGCATAGCATTTATTTAGGATTTTTGTTTGAGGAAATAAATTAAGAACTGGCTGATTTCATGCAAATTTTCTTCTAGCATTTATCATAAATTATCACTCCTATGCTCCTATGAAGTATTTGAGAATTGGGATGTTGAGATACTGATCAAATGAATTTAGATTTATATAATTTAGAGAAATAGCCCTTGAGAATTCCTTACCGATGTTTCTTCCTTTTTATGAAGAGGCCTATCTAAGCCCTCTGGCAATTTTTTCACTCAAATTAAAGATAAGGAGAAAAACAGTGACTTACTATTAATTAACCCAAGGAATATTGACATTGTGAGATCAAAAGACATGGTGTGTCTCTAAAGAGTTCACAATGTAGTGAGAGAAAGGCATGGACAAAACGATCTCTTATATTGGACCAATAAGCATTCAAATGAAATTAAAAGAAAATGAAAACACATGTATTATCTGCTTTTACCTCACATCTTGGTTATTACTAATAGTTTTCAAACTGTTTTCTCACCTCCAGGCTCACTACCCTCACAAATGTCATCCTGAATAAATACTTTAAGATTATTATGCCTAAAATACTACTGTTATCATGATGTCATTTTTTCTTAATTTTTTCTTTTTCTTTTTCTTCTTTTTTTTTTGAGACAGAGTCTCACTCTGTCTCCCAGGCTCGACTCTGCTCACTGCAACCTCTGCCTCCTGGGTTCAAGCAATTCTCCTGCCTCAGCCTCCCAAGTAGCTGGGACTACAGGTTTGTGCCACCACATCTGGCCAATTTTTGTATTTTTAGTAGAGACAGGGTTTCACAGTGCTGGCCAGTCTGGTCTCGCGCTCCTGACCTCAAGTGATCCACCACCTTGGCCTCCCAAAGTGTTGGGATTACGGGCGTGAGTCACTGTGCCTGGCCTTAAATTTGGTCAGCAGTGGCCAAAAGTATCTGACAACATGAGGATTCATAACATAATTAAACGGTATTGCAGTAGATACAGTAGCTTGTCCTACTTGTATTTTCCTAGAACTAAATTTTTTCTGAAATAATGTCACTGTAAATGATACCATATGTCAACAAGCTTCCAGAGATATATAACTTTAATTTGGCTACGGATAAAATATGCTTCAAAAACAAGAATTTCATTACACTTACAAAATTAATTTACTTTTAATTTTTTATGCTTAATTTTTGTGGGTACCTAGTAGGTATACATATTTATGGGATACATGAGATATTTTGGTACAGACATACAAGGTGTAATCATCACATCAGGGTACAGATATTCATCACCTCAAGCATTTACCCATTCTTTGTGTTATGAACAATTAAATTATACACTTTTAGTTATTTTAAAGTATACGATAAATTATTGTTGACTGTAGTCACACTGTTGTGCTATCAAATACTATGTCTTTTTCATTCTTTAACTTTTTTTTTGTACCTATGAACCAAACCCACTCACATCACCTACTACCCTTCCCAGCTGCTGGTAACCATTTTTCTACCTCCTATCTCCACAATTTGATTGTTTCAATTTTTAGCTTTCAAAAATAAGTGAAAACATACAAAGTTTGTCTTTCGATGCCTGACTTATTTCACTTACCAGAATCATCTTGAATTCCATTCAAGTTGTTGCAAATGAAGGGATCTCATTCATTTTTATGGCTGAATAGCAGTCCATTGTGTTTATGTACCAGGTTTTTTCTTTATCCATTTGTCTGTTGAGGGACACTTAGGTTGCTTCCAAATCTTGGCTATTGTGAATAGCACTGCAACATTTCAGAGTGCAGGTATCTCTTTAATATACAGATTTCCTTTCTTATGGGAATATACCTAGCAGTGGAACTGCCAGATCACACGGTAGCTTTCTTTTTAGTTTTTTGAGGAGTCTCCAAACACTGTGGTACTAATTTGCATTCCCACTCACAGTGTAATAGTGTTACCATTTCTCCACATCCTCAACAGTATTTGTTATTTCCTATTTTTTGTACAAAAGCCATTTTACCTGGGGTGAGATGATATGTCACTGTAGTTTTGATATTCATTTCTCTGACAATCAACCATGTTCAACACCTTTTTATATGCATGTTTGTCATTTGTATGTCTTCTTTTGAGAAATGTCTATTAAGAATTTTTGACCATTTTTAATTGGATTATTAGATATTTTTTCCTGTAGAGTTGTATAACTCCTTTACATATTATGAGTACTAATCCTTTGTCAGATGGATAGCTTGCAAATATTTTATCTTATTCTGCGTGTTGTCTCTTCATGTTGTTTTTATTGTTTCCCTTGCTGTGTATAAGGGTGTTAACTTGATATGATTCCATTTGTCCATTTTTGTGTTTGTTGTCTGTATTTGTGGGGTATTACTCAAGAAATTCTTGCTCAGTCCATTGTCCTGAAAAGTTTCTTCAGTGTTTTCTTTGATTAGCTTCATAGTTTGAGGTCTCATGTTTAAGTAACTATTTTGATTGATGTTTGCATGTGGGAAGATATAGGAGTCTAGTTTTATTATTTTCAGTATGCCTAACCAGTTTTCCCAGCACTATTTATTGAAGAGGCTGTCTTTTTCCCAATGTATGTTCTTGGCTTTTTTGCCAAAAATGAGTTCATTGAAGATGTGTAGATTTGTTTCTTTGTTCTGTATTTGGTTCTGTTGGTTATATTCCTGTTTTTATGCCAGTACCATGGTATTTTAGTTAATATAGCTCAGTATTATAATTTGAAGTCAGGTAATGTAATTTCTCCAGTTTTTTTCCTAGGATAACTTTGACTGTCTTAGGCCTTTTGTGGTTTTCTAACGCCAAAGGTTTTTGCCTTAGCCACGCCAAAGATTTGGTGTGGCGGCAGCCCGCGGTGAGAGAGACACGGATCGGACCAAGAGAAAAAAAGCTGTAGACTTTATTGAGCAGACTGATAGTATAAAGCTTCCACAGCGTGGAAGGGGTCCCAAGCGGGTAGCCGGTGTTAGATTTTTTGATTACCTTTTAAACTTTTTAAGGCGGGAAATACGTGTGGCGGGAAGATGTTACCAGAGCAAAAAACAAAGACAATTAACATGTCTTAGATCTCGAGGAAAACAGGAATTGTAACTCAAGTTTTATTTACTTTATAACCTTGTAGCGGCATGGCAAAGGAGACAGGACCTCACGGGATTTTACAAATTGTGTTTACAAGGAATTGGAATTGGGAGCATAAATAAGGTCAGCTGATCACAGAAAATAATGGGCTTTTAACATTCTGTTTAGTTTTACGGGAGGGGGAAGGGAGAGAGGGAGAGAGGACACAAGGAAGCTTACAGCAAAAGTTTTGCTATTTATAGCTTTCTTGGGGAAGAAAACACATGCACAAATTCTGATGTTAGGAATATTTTAAGCATATATCTTCAATATTATTTATCCAGGACCAAAGTAAGTCCTGTTGCAGGAAATGAGTGAGTTTCACAGCTTTCTGGGCCCCTACTTGACCCAGGAAGCCCAGCTGGAACCTCCTCTCAGTCCCCCCTTTAGACTGGACACCCCAACTGCTGTTAGGAATTGGGCAGTGGTTGTTTTGGTTACTTTTTGTTTATTACGGGCAAAGGGGACCTGTAACTGTGGTGTCTTTTAGAGGGGAACTTTTTAGGTTAGTGAGGGACCAGTGGGTTGATTTAGGGGTCCTTGGTAGAAGTCGTGAGTTGAGTTTGTTTGAGGTTTTATTTGTAAGACCATTTGTAGTTTGATGGCCTTGATTTTGGAGGAAACAAATTTGACAAGGAGGTTAAAAATGTAAGGCCCGAAAATGAATAGTAGTAGGATGGCTGTTGTAGGGCCTAGAAAGGGGAGGAGTCAAGGTATTTATTGATTAAATATATTTTAGGGCTTTGAGTGTTTAAGTTTTTTTGTTTTGTTTTGTTTTTTATTTTTATTTATTTTTTTATTTTTTAAGTAATGATTTTTGACTGGTTAATGAAATAGTAACTTTTTTTTTTTTTTTTTTTAAAGAAGAGGCAGGTTTTTTCTCTTTTAGTTGTTAATAAGTTTAGGGCTCTCTGGTTTTGAAGGACTACCATAGTTAGAGAATTAAGTTGGCTTTGTAGGGTCACTAGGGAGTTGGCAACTTGTTTTATTATTTAATTTTTGTGATAATTTATAATAGAATTGGGTGGAGGAGGTTATGTCTCTAATTTTAGTCTTAAGTTTGCCAAGTATTTTGGCTTTTATAATAAAAGGGACAATAAGAGCTTGTGACTGGTGAGACTGGGGTATAAGGAGACTTTGTAACTTTTGTTTAGTATATATGGACATGGGAGGTGTTAGAAAGGAGAGAAAGTATAGTTCTTTTGGAGTGCCATTCAGGCATTGATAGGTTGTGTTATTATAGATGAAAAAAAATGTCTGATGTTAGACAGGTGAAACCTGAGGTTATTGATGTTTAGGACTGACATTGGGAGGCGTTTTTCTTGAGAGTCATGTTGAAGTTTATGTATGTGAGATATGAGGCCTGTGTGGTTGGTAAATTGGTGACTATGGGACTGATTAATTTGGTGGTGTTTAGGACTGGGGTGGATAAATTTTACTGTTTGGGGAGAGGGACTGGGACATATGGTTGAAAACGTAAGGGGAGACACATTCAACAGTTGGTTGGATTATTAGGAGAGGCTTTTTGTATTTTTGTAAGGGTGGTGTTAAACAGGCTTTAGAGACGAGAATGATAGTTAAGGGTTTTTTGTAGTCTGGAAAGGTCTAATTTTTTATATGGACTGGGAGTATTGGATAGTTGGACTAAGTTTTTAATTATTTATTGGATATGTCATTTTTTAGTCTTATTTTGGACTTCTCCTTTGTTAGACATACCTATATGGGTATAATATGTCTAACAAGTGTTGGTCCCCCATTTTTTAGGGTAGTTAGTTTGGATTTTTTTTTTTTTTTTTGGTGATATGTAAGGCTATTGTGAGAACAGAGAGATGTAGTTTTATAACTTTTTTTTAATGTAAGTATATGTGGCAAAAGATGTGGGTGTTTGGAAGGGGCTACCTAATTCCCTAGAGTTTTTGAGAGAATGTCAGTTGACTCTTTTAGGGGAGACACACTGACTCGGGGGGTGTGTTGTACTTGGAGAAAGGAACATAAGTACGAAAAGGGTTTTTTTTAGGATTAACTCTAGGAGTTTTTTTGGTTGGAGGTTTTTTTTTTTGAAAAAGGAGACTTAGGGCTTCTAGTGACTGACAAGTGTATTGAAGCTGGTCTGGCTGACCTTGTGACTTTGGAGTTGATGATTTTGTAAGCTTTTTAGGAGTTGTTTAAGGTTTGACTTGGGTGTGGTGAATTTAGGATTTTACTCCTACTACTTTAACTATAGTGGGGGTAGAGAGGATTATTGAGTATGGTCCCTCCCATAAGGGATTTATAGATGGAGAGGTAGAGGGGAGAAACTTGACCAATACTAGATTTTTTGTTTGTAATAACTTTTTTTTTTGTTACACTTTTTAGGTAAAGTTTTAAGATATTGTTGATACTTTGTTAGCGAAGTTATATTTTTGACTAAATTGGCTGTTTTTTGATTGAGTAGGAGGTTATTTGTGATAAAAGGCCGTCCATGTAGTATTTTATAAGGACTGAGTCCCATTTTGTGAAGGGAGCTTTGAATTTTTAATAAGGCTATGGGCAAGAGAGTGGGCCATGGGAGATGAGCTTTTGTGATAGTTTTTTAAATGTCTTTTAAGTGTTTTATTAGTTTTTTGAATTGTTTTGAGGATTGTGGCCTCTAGGCACAGTGAAGATGATATTGTATTTTTAGTGTCTAGGAAATTTGTTGAGTTATTGTTGTTTTAAAAGTTGGTTTCTTCAATGAAAACACATGGACACAGGAAGGGGAACATCACACACCAGGGCCTGTTGTGGGGTCGGGGGAGGGGGCAGGGATAGCATTTGGAGATATACCTAATGTTAAATGATGAGTTACTGGGTGCAGCACACCAACATGGCACATGTATACATATGTAACTAACCTGCACGTTGTGCACATGTACCCTAAAACTTAAAGTATAATTAAAAAAAAGAAAAAAAATAAAAGTTGGTTCCTTATTTTTTTGTAAGTTTTGGGAAAGTTTAAATTTAAGAATTATTTTATGAACTAAGGCTTTAACCATTTTTTGGGCCTTTTTTGTTTTATAAGGGAAAGTTTTTATTTAATTTGTAAAGGTATTAATACAGACCAATAAGTACTGAAATTTTTTTGACTTTGGCATATGGGTAAAATTTAACTGTTAGTCTTCTCTGGGATAATGTCTTTTTTTTGTCTTTTTGGAGAGGCCTTATAGTGGGCTAAGCGGTTTTTTTTTTGGCACATTTTACAGGCTTTGACTACTTGTCGGATGGTTTTGAGATGTGGCCCTCTAAATAGGGATGTGGCCATCTTATGGGTACTTTTAATATCCATATGAGAAGTTTGCTGGAGGGTTTTAAGTATTTTTTATTGGCTGACTTTAGGTATGAGTATCTTTTTTGTTGTCGTTGTTAGTCACCCAGAGGGGAGAAAATGATGTCCTCATGAAAGTCCCCATTTTGTTTTAGTTGGGGAATACTGGGGCTTAACTTTTTGAAGGGGGTTGTTTGATACCAGGGGTCCTTTTATGGGCATTTTTGGAGCAAAGTTTTGTCTGGCAGTAAGTTTGACCTTAGTGTCTGGTGGTTTTTTTTTTTTTTTTTTTTTTTTTTTTTGATGGCTTTGGCAGTGTAAGACTGTTACTTTTTTAGGTTTTTGTACTGTGTGTAATAACTTTACGATTACGATTGTTTTGTTTGTGGTATTTAATGGGTGTTTTTTTAGAGGTTAGGAACTTTATTTTTATATTGTAGTATGTGTATGTAGGACTAGATAAGTATACTTGTTATTTGTGTACACATTTATTTATTTATTTATTTTTAGTTTTAAGGCTCGGGTAAGTGTCACTAGTTCTGTTAACTGAGTACTGGTCCCCGGGGGAAGAGGCTTACTTTTAAGTACTGTTGTATTATTAACTATGGCATAGTTGGCCGGGCGCGGTGGCTCACGCCTGTAATCCCAGCACTTTGGGAGGCCGAGGCGGGTGGATCACGAGGTCAGGAGATCGAGACCATCCTGGCTAACAAGGTGAAACCCCGTCTCTACTAAAAATACAAAAAATTAGCCGGGCGCGGTGGCGGGCGCCTGTAGTCCCAGCTACTCGGGAGGCTGAGGCAGGAGAATGGCGTGAACCCAGGAAGCGGAGCTTGCAGTGAGCCGAGATTGCGCCATTGCAGTCCGCAGTCCGGCCTGGGCAACAGAGCGAGACTCCGTCTCAAAAAAAAAAAAAAAAAAAAAAAAAAAAAACTATGGCATAGTCTGTTTTTTGTACTTTATTTTTTACAAAAGAATTTTTATTCGCATACAGGTTAAGGTTAGGGTTAGCTAAGGGGACTTTTAGGAGATGTTTTTGGGCGGCGTAAGTCTGAGTTATAATTTGTTGGTAGTTATGTTTAATTGGTTCCTCATCCTCTGGGAGAACAGTGGCATGGCAGCGTTGAGGGCCGTACATGTGTGTATTTGACATACTGGTCCCTTAAGGAGTAGTGTCTGGTATTTGAGTAGGCGGTTATTTGAGAGTCACACACTTTTTTTAGTATTTAATATGTCGTTTACATTGTGAGTTGTCTAGACGGTGAGATTTTTTCCTTGTATTATTTTAATAGTCTTTGACATTAAGATGGCTATTGTTGTAACCACCTGTAAACAGTGAGGCCAGTCTTTGGCTACTATATTAATTTTTTAATTTAGGTATGTTACTGGTTGTGGGGTTGCCCCGTGAGTTTGAGTGAGAACTTTTAAGACCTATGTCTGTTTTTTTGGTGACATACAACAAGAAATTTTGTCCTGTGGGGAGGCTCAGCGCTGGAGTTTGTACCAGGGCCTGTTTTAAAGTTTCGAAGGCTGTTTTTGTTTTTGGTTTTTATTTTATTAGATTGGTGTTTGTCTTTTGAGTTTTTTTTTTATTAGGGTATAGAGTGGCCTGGCCATTTTGCTGTATTTAGGAATTCACAGTTGGCAAAAGTCAGTGATTTTAAGGAACCCCCGTAACTGTTTTAATGTCGGCTCTAAGAGCTGTACCCATGCACCACAGATTGTACTTGAGAGGCCCCAAGGAAGGGGAAAGTCTATTTGGGGAGCAATGGAGGAAATGCTCTAAGGCTTCTACTACCTACATGAAAATTACAGACCTGTCTTTAAATTGTCTTGATGTGGGGGACCATACACTATGGTGGGGAACTTGCCCTTTAAAATAGCCATCGAACGGTGACACCTGTCTAAACCCTGGAGGGCACCATGAACAGGGATCTTTTGGGCACCACCCCAAGTATTTAGGACTTCTAAATAGGGAATCTTGATCCTGCCTAGCGGGAATAACCTTGCTTGCTGGATGAGGAAAGAAGTCTAGAAGGCGGACATTAAGACCCAGGAGGCAGGGGTCAGAAGATGTGGCGGTCTCACGCTCAGTAACCCTTGCAGGAGGAGCCTCTGGTGGGGCCATGGTCTTAACCAGGAAATCTGGGAGACTAGAACGGCAGCTGATAACTCCCGGGTGTCCTGTAGGACCGCCACGGAAAGTGAAAGAGTATGAACTGGAAGCAGAGTAACCAACATTCCCAGCCCCGGAGGGTCGGGGGGTTGTTAGAGAGCGTTTTTCAGACAGCCTGACACCCATGTCTTTAGTCCAGCGGCTGCTAATCGCCTTTAAGTGGCCCACAGGTGCCCGGTTTGGCCTCCGAATTCTAAGGAAGGAAAGGGCAGAATAGCAAGCGAAAGAGATCCAATCTTACTCACCACGTGACGATCTACCTGCCTTTCCTGGAGATCCTCCTGGCTGGCTCGCCAAAATGTAGCCAAAGGTTCTTGCCTTAGCCACGCCAAAGATTTGGTGTGGCGGCAGCCCGCGGTGAGAGAGAGACACGGATCGGACCAAGAGAAAAAAAAATGTAGGCTTTATTGAGCAGGCTGATAGTATAAAGCTTCCACAGCGTGGAAGGGGTCCCAAGCGGGTAGCCAGTGTTAGATTTTTTGATGACCTTTTAAACTTTTTAAGGCGGGAAATACGTGTGGCGGGAAGATGTTACCAGAGCAAAAAACAAAGACAATTAACATGTCTTAGATCTTGAGGAAAACAGGAATTGTAACTTGTTTGATTTACTTTATAACCTTGTAGCAGCACAGCAAAGGAGACAGGCTCTCACAGGATTTTACAAATTGTGTTTACAAGGAATTGGAATTGGGAGCATAAATAAGGTCTGCTGATCACAGAAAATAATGGGCTTTTAACATTCTTTTTAGTTTTACGGGAGGGGGAAGGGAGAGAGGGAGAGAGGACACAAGGAAGCTTACAGCAAAAGTTTTGCTATTTATAGCTTTCTTGAGAAAGAAAACACATACACAAATGCTAATGTTAGGAATATTTTAAGCATATATCTTTAATATCATTTATCCAGGACCAAAGTAAGTCCTGTTGCAGGAAATGAGTGAGTTTCACAGTTTTCTGAGCCCCTACTCGACCCAGAAAGCCCAGCTAGAACCTTCTCTCAGTTTCATATAAATTTTAGATTTTTTTTTCTCTGTGAAGAATGTCATTGATATTTTGTCAGGGATTGCATGCATCTGTAGATTGCTTTGAGGAGTATAGACATTATTAACAATATTGTTTCCTCCAATCCATGAACAAGGAATATCTTTCCACTTTTTCGTGTCTTCCTCAATTTCGTTCATCAATGTTTTACAGTTTTCATTTTACAGGTATTTCACTTTTCTGGTTAATTCCTAGATATTTTATTTGATTTGTACCTATTATAAATGGGATTCCTTTCTTCATTTCATTTTCAGATTGTTTGTTGTTGGCACATATAATGATACTAATTTTTGTAGGTTGATTTTGTGTCCTGCAACATTAATACATTTGTTTATCAGTTCTAATAGGTTTTTTGTGGAGTCTTTAGATTTTTGCAAATATAAGATCATATCATCAGCAAACAAGGATAATTTGAGTACTTTCTTTCCAATTTGGATGCCGTTTATATCTTTCTCTTGTTAACCAGGACTTCAAGTGCTATGTAGAATAACAATAGTAAGAGTTTGAATCCTTGTCTTGTTCCTGAGCTTAGAGGAGATACTTTCAGATTTTTTTTTTCCCTGTCAGTATTGTATTAGCTTTTGTTTTTTTGTACATGGCTATTATTTGTTGAGGAATGTTTCTTCCATGACAATTTTTGTGAGTGTTTATTATAAAGGGATGCTGAATTTTGTCAAATGCTTGTCCACCGTGAATTGAAATAATCCTATGTTTCTTTTCCTTCATTCTCTTGATATGATGTATTATACTGATTGACTATGTATTTTTAACCATCTTTTCTCTCTTGGGATAAATCTCACTTGGTTATGATGAATGCACTTTTTAATGAGTTGTTGAATTCAGTTCTCTAGAATTTCACTGAGGATTTTTGCATCAACAGTGGTACGGTTTGGCTCTGTGTCCCCGCTCAAATTTCATGTTGAATTGTATGTAATTACCAGTGTTGAAGGAGGGGCCTGGTAGGAAGTGATCAGATCATGGAGCAGATTTCTCACTTTCTGTTCTCCTGATAGTCGGTTATCACGAGATCTGGTTTTTTGAAAGTTTGTAGCACTTCCCCTTAGCCCTGTCTCTCTCCTGCTCTGCCATGTGAAGATCCTGCCTGCTTCCCCTTCACCTTCCACCATCATTGTAAGTTTCCTGAGGCCTCCTAAGCCATGCCTTCTATACAGCCTGTGGAACTGTGAGTCAACTAAACTTCTTTTCTCTATAAATTACCCCGTCTCAGGTATGTCTTTACAGCTGTGTGAGAATAGACTAATACAAATATTAATCATGGATGTTGCTTGTAAAATATTGCCTGTAGGTTTCTTTTTTGGATGTATCTTTTCCTGGTTTTCGTATCATGTTATTATCAGTCTTATAGAATGAGTTTGGTATTCCTTTCTCCATTTTGGGGGATAGTTTCAGTAATAGTATTGTTTCTTCTTTAAATATTTGGTAAAAGTTCAGCAGTAAAGCCATTGTGTCCTGTGCTTTTCTTTGCTGGAGACATTTAATTACAGATTCAGTCTTTTATTTTTTATTGATCTGTTCAGGTTTCGGATTTTTTCATGGTTCAATCTTGGTATGTTGCATGTATCTAGGAATTTATTCATTTCTTCTAGAATTTACAATTTATTGACTTACAGTTGCTCATAATATCTTCTAATGCCCCTTTGAGTTTCTGTAGTATCAGTTTTAACATCTTTTTTATCTCAAAATTGTATTTATTTGGGTCTTCTATGTTTTTTCTTACTCTGACTAAAGGTTTGTTAATTTTGTTTATCTCTCAATAAAACCAACTTCTGACTGAGCAGAGTGGCTCACGCCTATAATCCCAGCACTTTGTGAGGCCGAGGCAGGCAGATCACTTGAGGCCAGGAGTTTGAGACCAGCCTGGCCAACATGGTGAAATCCCGTTTCTACTAAAAATACAAAAATTAGCTGGATGTGTTGTTTGCATGCCAGTAATCCCAGCTACTGGGAAGGCTGAGGCATGAGAATTGCTTGAACCTAGGAGGCAGAAGTTGCAGTGAGCTGAGATCATGCCACTGCACTCCAAACTTGGTGACAGAGTGAGACACTGTCAAAAAAAAAGAAAGAAAGAAAGAAAGAAAATAAGAGAAAAGATAAAAAAGGGAAGAAGCCCAACTTTTTGTTTCATCGACCTTTTGTATTGTTTTCTTTGTTTCAATTTCATTTATTTCTGCCATGATCTTTAATATTTCTTTTCTTCTACTAATTTTGGGCTTGGTTTGTTTTTGCTTCCTTAGTTTTTTAAGATGCACTATTAGGTTGTTTATTTGAAGTTTTTCTACTTTTTTCATGTATAAAACTATAACCTTTCCTCTTAGTACTCTTTTCTCTGTATTCCATTGGTTTTGGTAGGTTTTGTTTCCATTGTTAATTGTTTCAAAAAAATTTAATGTTCTCTCTATTTCTTTTTTTTTCAGTTACCCACTGGTCATTTGGAGCATGTTGTTTAATTTTCAAGTGTTATAGGTTCCCAAATTCCTCTTGTTATTGATTTCTAGTTTTATTCTTCGGGGCCAAAGATAATTGATATAATTTCAATGTTTAGAATTTTTTTCATGCTTCTTTTGTGTTTTCATATATAGTCTATCCTTAAGAATAATTCCTATGCTCAGGAGAAGAATGTGTATTCTGCGGCTGTTGGATGAAATGATCTGTAAATATCTATAAAGCCCATTTTGCCTATAGTGCAAATTAAGTCCAATGTGTCTTTGTTGATTTACTGTGCAGATTATCTGTCCTATGCTGAAAATGGGGTGTTGAAGTCTCTAGGCATTATTGTATTGGTAACTATCTCTCTGTTTAACTCTATTGGTATTATATTATATATATCTGGGTGCTCCTGTGTTAGGTACATGTATACTTATAGTTGTTATGTCTTCTTGCTGAATTGGCCACTTTATCATCATATAATGGCGTCCTTTGTCTTTTTGTAGTTTTTGTCTTTAAATCTGTATGGTTTGAGATAATTTTAGTGGCTCCTGCTCTTTTTTGGTTTCCATTGGCATGGAGTGTCTTTTTCCATCCCTTCATTTTCAATCTATGTGTGTCTTCATAGGTGAAGTGTGTTTACTGTAGGCAACAGATAATTAGCCATATTGTTTTTATATCCATTCAACCACTCTATGTCTTTTTATTGGACAGTTTAGTCCATTTGCATTCAAAGTTATTATTAATAAGTGGTGACTTATTTCTGTCATTTTGTTATTTGTATTCTATTTGTTTTGTGGTCTTTTCTTCCTTCTTTTCTTCATTTTTGTCTTCCATTTAGTATAGTTAATTTTCTTTTGTGATATGTTTTAGTTTATTGCTTTTTTGTGTCTGTTGTACGGTTTTTGATTTGACGTTACTATGGTGCTTATTAATAATATCTTATAACCCATTATTTTAAAATAATAACTTCACTCTGACTGCATAAACAAACTAATAAACTGACAAAGAGAAAACTAGAAAACTAATAGAAAACTCTACACTTTAACTTATCCCCCTACTTTTTAACCTTTAATTGTTTCTATTTATACCTTATTGTACTGTGCATATATTGAAAAGTTGTTGTAGTTTTTTTTATTGGTTCATCTTGTAGTTTTTCTACTCAAGATACGAGTAGTTTACACAGCACAATAACAGTGTCACAATATCTGTGTTTTCCTGTGTACTTACTGTTACCAGTGAGTTTTTACCTTCAGATGATTTCTTATTGCTCATTAACATCCTATTCTTTCAGATTGAAGAATTCTTTTTAACATTTCTTATAGAACATGTTTAGTGTTAATGAAGTCCCTCGTCTTCTGTTTGTCTGTGAAATTCCTTCTTCTCCTTCATGTTTGAAGGATATTTCCACTGGATATTCTATCCAGCAATCTAAATATGTCATGCCACTCTCCTGGCCTGTAAAGTTTTCACTGAAAGGTCTGCTGTCAGAATTATTGGAGCTCCATTGTATGTTATTTGTTTGTTTTCTTTTACTGCTTTTAGAATCCTTTTATTTTCTTTGACTTTTGGAAGTTTGATTATCAAATGCCATGAGGTTGTCTCCTTTGGGTTAAATCTTCTTGGTGTTATACAACCTTCTTGTATTTTAATATTGATATCTTTCTCTAGGTTTGGGAGGTCCTCTGTTATTATCTCTATGAATAAACTTTCTACCCCATCTCTATCTCTACCAGCTTTTTAAGATCAATATCTCTTAGATTTGCCTGTTTGAGGCTATTTTATAGATCCTATAGGCATGCTTCATTGATTTTTATTCTTTTTATTTTGTCTTCTCTGACCATGTGTTTCAAATAGCCAATCTTCAAGCTCAGTAATTTTTTTCTTTCGCTTAATCAATTCTGCTATTAAGGGAATCTGATTCACTCTTACATATGCCAGTTGCATTTTTCAGCTCCAGAATTTCTGCTTTATTTTTGAAAACTATCTTAATATCTTTGTTAAATTAATCTGATAGTGTTTTGAATTCCTTCTCTGTGTTATTGTGAATTTATTTGAGTTTCCTCAAAACAGTATTTTGAATTTTCTGTCTGAAAAGTCACATATCTCTTATCTCTTCAGGGTTGGATGATGGTGCCTTTTACTTTTTTCATTTGGGGAGGTCATAATTTCCTTAATGTCCTTGATGCTTATGGATGTTTGTCAGTGTTTGGGCATTGATGAATTGTGTATTTACTGTAATCTTCTAAGTCTGGGCTTGGAAAGGCTTTCCAGGTATTCAAAGAAACTTGAATGTTGTGATCTAAGTTTTTGATTATTGCAGCCTATCTGCATTAGGGGGTACCCTACATCCAGTAACACTGTGGCTCTTGCATACTCATAGAGCTATCACCTTGGTGGTTATGGATAAAATCCAGAAGAACTCTCTTGATCACCAGGCAAATACTCTTTTTCTCTTCCCTTAGTTTCTCCATGACAAATGGAATCTCTCTACATACTGAGCTGCCTGGAGAATGAGGAGGGTTAACACAAGCACAACTGTTACTGTGTTGGGTCAGACTTGAAGCCAACACAACACTCAGTCTTGCCCAAGGCCCATGGTAACACCTGCTTTGCTACCACCTATGTTTGCTCAAGGGCCTAGGATTCTACAACCATTAGATGGTGAAGCCACCCAGGCTTGTGTTTTTCTCTACAATACAGCAAAATCCCTCTATTTCCAGGCAGGTCCAGAAATGCCATCCAGGAGCCAGGGCCTGGAGTTGGAAACCTTAGGAATCTACCTGGTGCTTTATTTTTCTGCACCTGAGATGACACCCAAGCCACAAGATCAAGTGCTTTCCATGCTTGTTTCCCTTTTCCACAATGTATGTCACTGTCCCAGGCCCTCAGTGAGTACTGCCTGGCTACCACCGATGTTCCCGCAAGGCCCATGGCTCTTCATTCAGCTTGTGGTAAATGCTGCGCAGGCTGGATCTCTCCCTTCATGGCAGTGGGCTCTCCTCTGGCCTGGGGCAGGCTCAAAAATATCATGCAAAAGCCAAGGCCTGCGATCAGAGATCCCAAGTGCCCACTTGTTGCTCCACCCCACTGTGGCTGAGCTGGTACCTAAGCTGCAAGACAAAGTCCCCTTTATGCTTCCCTCTCCTTTTCTCAAGAAGAAGAAATCCCTCACCAAAGCCACCATAGCTGGGAATGTTCTGGGTCACATCTGAAGCAACATTTCTGAGTCTCACCCAAGGCTCATGGTGAGTACTGCTGGGGTACCACTGCTGCTTATTTAGGGCCCAAGAGCTTTTTAGTAAGTAGATGATGAATGCTGCCAGGACTGGGTTGTTCCCTTCAAGGCATCTGGTTCTCTTCTGGCAAAGGGTGGGTCTAGAAATGTGTTTTTAGGGACTAAGGCCTGGAATGGTGGCCTTAGGCCTCTGGCTGGTGCCCTATCCTATTGTGGATGAGCTGGTATCCAAGTTGCAAGCTGAAGTTCTCCTTACTCTCTCCTCTTCTCAAGTGAAAGTACAGAGTCTCTCCGGAGCTGCAAGCTGTGCTGCCTGGGGTTTGGGGAGGTGTGGCACAAGTACTCCCTTGGTCACGTGACTTGTTTCTCACTAGGTCATGTTCCCCATACTTTTCTGACTCTGAGCCCAGCACATTGCTAGGACTTGCCTAGGAATTGCAGTCCCTGTGGCCTATACTGCCTTTCAGCTTTCTTTAACAACCCAGAACCTTTTAGCCTATGGTGGTGAGGCTTGCCAGAACTCATGTTCTGACCACTGAGGTGGGCAATTCTCTTCTGGCTAAGGTTTCTCTAAGTGCTCCTCAGATGGGAACTGGCTGAGTTCTGCTTAGTGTTGCTTTCTGCTGTGACATGGGAGCACTGAATTCCAAAGCAAAGTCTCATAATCACTGCACTCTCTCTCCCCAAAGCACACAGATAGTCTTTCTATGTCATGTGGATTCTGCTAGGGGATGATAAAGAGGTGGCATCAGAAATAAAAGACTATCTTCCATAGTCTTTTCAGGGCCTCTTTCAGTGATGTGAAGTTAAAAATATGTACTGTGATCACTTGCTGGATTTTTGTTTCTTATGAGGGTGTGTGTGTGTGTGTGTGTCGACAGCTTTTCAACTTGGTGTTCCTGTAGGGAGGACAATTGGTGGAGGATTTTGTTCAGGCATATTGCTCGACCTCCTTAGCAACTAATATTTTCATAGAATATTCATAGCATATAAAATTCTTCACAAATTAAAAAAAATGAACTCCAATTACTGACAAGCCATAAAAATAATACATAATTTTTAGCTTATAATGTGCTTGGAAGTATACTGTTATATCATTCAACCCTTTACAAACTGTGTTAGGCTTATAACATTATGAATTTTTATTTTATAAATGAGGAAACTGAGACTCAGAAAATAAATGATCAACTTGATTATAACACAAGCACTTTCAGGGAGGCATGAAAATCAAATTTGAATGCAGGAATCTAATACACCAATGAAAAGGATTGATACCACACAAAGGATGTTCCCTAAACACAATAAAAACATTATAAATTAATAACAAAAGAAAATCACAAATATTCACAAGTTTGTGGAAATTACACAATATAATCATAAATAAAGAACAGATTAAGCCATAAATCACAGGAAAAAATAGAAAATACCTTTGGATAAATAAAAATAAGCCACAGCATGCCAAAATTTAAGGGATGCAGCCAAAGCAGTAGTTAGAGGAAATTTATAGCTTCTGCCTATGTTTAAAAAGGAAGGATAATATCAAATCAATACCCTAGATTTTTATCTTAAGAAATTAGAAAAAGTAGAATAAACTAAACCCAAATTTAGCAGATGAAAGGGAATAATAATAACTATTAGAGCAAAAATAAATGAAAGGAGAATAGGAAAACAATTGGAAAAAATGAGAGAAGACTAAAATTAATGAGTTCAGGTATGAAAGAAAATATATCACTATTAACCTTACAGAAATAAATAGTATTTTGATGGAATATTGTGCACAATTATATGCCAACCAATTAGATAACCTAGATTAAATATACAAATACATAAGCTACCAAAATTTATTCAAAAAGAAATAGAACATATGAACAGATCTGTAAAAATGAAGAGACTGAATTAGCAAATTCAGAAACTTCCCACAGAGAAAGCATAGATCTACATGGTTTCCCTGATTACTTCTACCAAATATTTGAAGAAAAATTAATATCAATCCTAAACATTTTTTAAACTAGAAGAGATGAAACGAATTAATAAAATTGACAAAAATATCAGAAAATTATATGCCAATATACCTCATAGCTATAGATAGAAAATATTTAACAAAATATTAGAAAAATATAGTTCAACAATATATTAAAATAATTATACACCATAATCTAGTGAGATTTATTCCTAGAATGCAAGCTTAGATTAGCATCTGAAAATCAATTAATGTATAACACCGTGTTAACCAAAGAGAGGGCAAAAATCACATGATTATAAAAATAAGCAGAAAAATCATTTTATAAAATTCAATAAATTTACACAATAAAAACACTCAGCAAACTAGGACTAGAAGGGAACTTCCTCAACCTGGTGGATGGCATCTATAAAAAAATAGGAATTAACATCATAATTAAAGAGGAAAGACTGAAAACATTGACCCTATGACCAGGAGGAGCAAGACTAGGATTTCTGCTCTCACTTTCCATTCAGCCTGTACTGAAGGTAAGGACAAAATAAATAAAAGACATCAGATAAAGAAAGAAGCCAAGGTATTTCTACTTGCTGATAACACCAACTTGTATATAGAAAAACCCAGTAAATACACACATAACAACTAAAATTAATAAATTTAGGAAATTTATAGAGTACATTATTAGTATACAGAAATGAATTGTATTTCTATACAATAGCAACAAATAATTCAAAATTAAAATTAAGAATACAATTCTATTTACAATAGCATCAAAAAGGCATAGTTAAAAAATAAATGTTAAACTTATATTCTAAAAGTGAAAAAAAGACATTGTTGGAAAAAATTAAAGAATAGCTAAATGTGTGGAAAGATGCTCTATGTTCATAGAATGGAAGATGTAATACTATTAGATACTGTTAAGATAACAATATTTTCCCAATTGACTTTCAGATTCAATGTAGTTAATATCACAATTCCTTTTGTCTTTTTTTGCAGAAATTAACAAGACAATCTCTTTTTTCATAGATGCTCAAATTATTTATTTATAAATATGGTTAATTTATTTATAGATATGGTTAATCATAAAATTTATATGAAAGTGCAAGGGATCCAGAATAAGCAAAACAATCTTGAAAATAAGAACAAAGTGGAAGACCCCCACTTATTAACCTCAAAATTTACTACTAAAGAAAGATTGTGTTACAGGCATAGTGGTAGACAATATAAATTAATGGATTAGATTTGAGAATCTAGAAATAACCCTAACATTTATGGTCAATTGATTTTCTTTCTTTTTTCTTTCTTTCTTTTTTTTTATTAAACTTTAAGTTTTAGGGTATCTGCACATGGTCAATTGATTTTCAAGAGTGGTGCCAAGACAATTCGATGGGGGAAATGTTTTCTTCAATAAATGGTGCTAGAAAAAAACTGTATTTTCACAGGCATAAGAATGAAATTGAGCCTTTTCCTTACATCATATACAAAAATTAACCCAAAATACATAATAGACCTGAATGTAAGGGCCAAAATTTTAAAAGTCTTAAAAGAATATATAGATGTTAATTTTGGATAAGGCAATAGTTCTTAAATATGACTCCAAAAGTATAAAATAAATAAAAATTGATAAATTGTATTTCATCAAAATTTTAAAAATATTATTATTTGGCTGGGTGCGGTGGCTCATGCCTGTAATCCTAGCACTTTGTGAGGCCGAGGCGGGTGGATCACCTGAGGTTGGGAGTTCAAGACCGGCCTGACCAACATGGAGAAACCCCGTCTCTACTAAAAATACAAAATTAGCCGGGTGTGGTGGCACATGCCTGTAATCCCAGCTACTCAGGAGGCTGAGGCAGGAGAATCACTTGAACCCAGGAGGCAGAGGTTGTGGTGAGCCGAGATCACGCCACTGCACTCCAGACTGGGCAACAAGGGAGAAACTCTGTCTCAAAAAAAAAAAAAAAGTCATTCTTCAAAATCATCATGACATGCAAATCACTTATCTGATACATGTCTGTTATCCAAAATTTAGAAAGAAGCTTTAAAACTCAAAAACAAAATTACATATAAGGCAATTAAAAATCGATGAATTTAAAGATATTCAACATCACTTTAGAGTCAGACAAATCAAAACTACAATGAATTACTACTTCACACCTGACTATAATAGCTATATTTTATGTTATATTATTTATGTATGAATGAATAATGTCTGAAATACATGTTACATATACAATTGTTACAATAACAACTGTTGACAAGGATGTGGAGAAACAGGAATCATTATACATTACTAGTGGGAATATAAAATGCTGCAGCCTTTTTTAAAAACATTATGGCAGTTTCATAGAATGTTTAACTTCAGAATTGCCATATAGCAAAACAATTCCCCTTTAATTATATACCTAAGAGAAATAAAAACATATGATCATAAAAAAACTTACACATAAATGTTCATAGCAAAGCTATCATTCAGAATAGCCAAAAAGTGGAACCAACCCAAATGTCCTTAAAAAGATGACAAAAACAAAATGTAACATATCCATACAATGGAATATTATTTGGTACTAAAAAGTAATAAAGTGATACATACTACAACATGGATGAACCTTGAAACCTCACTGGTTGAAAGAAGCTAAAAGCAAAACATCACGTACTCTGTGTCCCCATTTACAGTTGGCCCTGCATATCCGTGGATTCTGCCATCTGTTAATTCAACTAAGCATGGATTGAAACTGTAGTTAGGGCTACGATGGTCTTATTCATTCTGAACACATATAGACCTTTGTTTCTCATTATTCCATAAACAGTAAAATATAACAACTGTTTATACAACACTTACACTGTATTAGGTATTATGAGTAATCTAGAGATTATTTAAAGTATATGGGAGGATGTGCATAGATTATATGCAAACACTATAACATTTTATATAAAGGACTAAATTATCCACAGATTTTAGTATCTTCAGTAGATCCTGAAAGCAATCCCCTACAGATGCCGAGGGATGGCTGTATATGAAATGTTCAGAACGGGTAAAGCCATAGAGTCAGAAAGTAGATTATTGATTACTAAGAGCTGTGGGGAGGGTCAGATAAGGAATGATTGCTAAAGCCTAAGGAATTTCTTTTTGGGGTGGTGAAGATGTTCTGGAATTAGATAGTGGTGATGATTGCACAGCTGTTTGAATATACTAAATTTGACTCAATTGTATACTTTATAAGGGTGAATTTTATGATATTTAAATTATAGCTCAATATGTTTTTATTTAAAAAACAATATGTTGGGGATATGCACATAAAACACAATTTTTATAATTTTAATACATTATAAATATGCAAATTATTGCTATTATTATAGCTAAATAAAGTACCCCAGAGTGAGTGGTTAACTTGAGATAAGTAATTTAGTCTGGGCCATTACTGACTTAGTTTTGGGATGTGTGTTTAATGTGAAAAATTGTTGTGACAATGACTCTAACTTCAAATAAACTATTAAATAACGAGTTGAGTGATGAAATATATAAAACGTGATTACTATGATACTCAAAGTAGTGCAGTAAATATTCATAGACATTATAAATGCTGAAATTGGTAAAATTCTGACAGATAACAGACAAAAGTAAAATGTATCCCCCATGGTATAGATTTGGTGGCTATTGCAGTGTTAACAGAGAGTATCCATTAGTAACACTATAAATTGTGGCATCTGTTTATTTCTCATTTGCCAGGACTCTATTTCTTCATGGTCTTCTACTTTATGGTTCACTATCTGAAGTGAAGGTATGTTTTTATAAATGATGAAAACCATCAATTACATTTACATTCCAGGCTACAATTGCATGCTGCCTTAGTATTTTAAAATGGGCACCAGTCATTCAAAAGTTTTCTTACAGGACTATGGAATTGGTTTAGCATATTGGAGGTCAACTCACAAATTGCCTTAGTGTCAGAAACGTATCCACAAAAAATGCCTTAAAATTCGTGGAATTGGGCTACTGGACAAAAAGAATGTAATTCACTGCCATAAATAACCTTGATAACAGGAATAACTGTTAGTAAATTGCAGCTGACAGCTGTGAAAATTTGATCCAGAGAGAAGCTACCTGGGGTAGTAAGGAAGCAAATTAGACTAGGTTTCAAGACACCTGGGTTTCAGTCTGGGTTCTGCCAATTACCAGTTGTGTGACTTAGATACTTCCCTTTCTTGCTGGCACAGCCTACTCATCTGTCAAAGGAAGATTTTGAACTAAAGATTTCTGAATTATTTCCCAACTAAGAATACAAAATATGTTTTAAAAATATTATGTCACTTTCTACAAAGGATGAGAAGGAGCAATGCCCTATACTACTCAGCATGACTTCCTTAAAAAATTAGAGAGAAAACTGGGAAAGAGGAATATTCTTCCTTCCCTTCCTTGACAAATTGTGATAGACCTGAGAAGGTTTGTTAAAGAATGAGTTTTTAGAGAGTCTTATGCTATTGCCACCGTGTCTTTCCCTCTCTCTTTTTCACTTTTTAAGGTGTAGTGCTATGAAACTTCTGAGAAGAAGAAAAGAGGTAAGCAAGACCTGCCCCTGGCAACATTTTGAAATAAAATATTTGTCTCTGCTTCCTATATTTATCCTTTCTGGGGCTCTTTGTCATATCTAATCTTTTTTATTCTAGTGTCTCATCTTTTTCCAGCCCTCTCCCCAAGAAAAGCTCTAAGTTTGTTTTTCCGTTCTACTTCTAAGTCACTCTTCTTTATATTCTCAGCCTTGATTCTCATCATGGAAAGAAAAAACCTGACTCATGGCATCTTTAAGGGATAATATTCAGCTAGTATTCATGCGTATAATTCTATCAATAGCTGATAAAATTTGAAATACTTCTGCACTAGTTGGTAAATACCCACTTGTCTGAGCCTCTTACTGTTGTGCGGGCCACCAAGGCGCTTCTCCTGGAAAACTGGAACTCCCTAGGATACATCAACATAGGGTAAATGCTTGTCAGATCAGATAAGTTTCAGAATCCAGATCTAGATTTATTTTCTGTGCCAGATCATTTCTTTGAGTGTCTTCATCTTGCCTATGGTTAATTGTTTTTTAACTTTTAAGTTCAGGGGTACATGCACAGGATGTGAAGGTTTGTTACATAGGTAAATGTGAGTTATGGGGGTTTGTTGTACAGATTATTTCACTAACCAGGTGTAGTATCAGTTAGTTATTTTTTTCTGATCCTCTCACTCCTCCCACCCTCCACTCTCCAATAGGTGCCAGTTTGCATTGTTCCCCTCTATGTGTCCATATGCTCTCATCATTTAGCTCCCACTTATAAGTGAGAACATGTTTTATTTGGTTTTCTGTCCCTGTGTTATTTTGCTGAGGATAATGGCCTCCAGCTTCATCCATGTCCCTACAAAGAACATAATCCTGTTCCTTTTTTATTGCTGCAGAGTATTCCATGGTCTATATGTACCACATTTTCTTTATCCAGTCTATCACTGATGGATATTTAGGTTGATTCTTTGTCTTTGCTATTGTGAATAGTGCTGCAGTGAACATATGTATGCATGTGAGTTCATAATAGAACAATTTATATTCCTTTGAGTACATACCCAGTAATGGGATTGCTGAGTCAAATGGTATTTCTGTCTCCAGATTTTTGAGGAAGCTCCACACTGTCTTCCACAATGCTTGAACTAATTTACACTTCCACCAACAGTGTAAACACGTTCTTTTTTCTCTGCACCCTCACCAGTATCTGTTATTTTGACTTATTAACAATAGCCATTCTGACTGGTGTGAAATGGTATCTCATTGTCATTTTGATTTGCATTTCTCTAATGAACAGTGATGTTGAGCTTTTTTCCATATGATTGTTGGCTTCATGTATGTCTTCTTTTAAGAAGTGTCTGTTCATAACCTTTGTCCACATTTTAATGGGGTTTTTTAATTGTAAATTTGTTTAAGTTTCTCATAGATGCTGAATATTAAACCTTGGTCAGATACACAATTTGAAAAATTTTCTTCGATTCTGTAAGTTGTCTGTTTAGTCTGTTGATAGTTCCATTTGCTGTGCAGAAGCTCTTTAGTTTAACCAGATCCCTGTTAATTTTTGCTTTTGGTGCAATTGCTTTTGGTGTCTATATCATGAAATCTTTGTCCTATTCAACATAGTATTGGAAGTTCTGGCCAGAGCAATCCGGCAAGAGAAAGAAATAAAGGGTATTCAAATAGGAAAGGAGGAAGTCAAATTGTCTCTGTTTGCAGATGACATGATTGTATATTTAGAAAACCTCATCATCTCAGCCCAAAATCTCCTTAAGCTGGTAAGCAACTTCAGCAAAGTCTCAGGATAAAAAAGTCAATGTGCAAAAATCACAAGCATTCCTATACACCAATAACAGACCAACAGAGAGCCAAATCATGAGTTGAACTCCCATTCACAATTGCAACTAAGAGAATAAAATCCATAGGAATACAACTTGCAAGGGATGTGAAGGACCTCTTCAAGGAGAACTACAAACCATTTATCAAGGAAATAAGAGAGGACACAAACGAATGGAAAAACATTCCATGCCCATGAATAGGAAGAATCAATAACATGAAAATGGCCATACTACCCAAAGTAATTTACAGATTTAATGTTATCCCCATCAAGCTACCATTGACTTTCTTCACAGAATTGGAAAAAACTACTTTAAATTTCATATAGAACCAAAAAAGAGCCCGCATAGCCAAGACAATCCTAAGCTAAAAGAGCAAAGCCAGAGGCATCATGCTACCTGACTTCAAACTATACTACAAGGCTACAATAACCAAAACAGCATGGTACTGGTACCAAAACAGATAGACCAATCAAACAGAAGAGAAGCCTCAGAAATAATCCCACACATCTACAAATATATGATCTTTGAAAAACCTGAGAAAAACAAGCAATGGGGAAATGATTCCCTATTTAAGAAATGGTGCTGGGAAAACTGGCTAGCCACATGCAGAAAGCTGAAACTGGATCTCTTCCTTACACCTTAAACAAAAATTAACTCAAGACAGATTAAAGACTTAAACGTAAGAACTAAAACCATAAAAACCCTAGAAGAAAACCTAAGCAATGCCATTCATTCAGGACATAGGCATGGGCAAAGACTTCATGACTAAAATATCAAAAACAACGGCAACAAAAGCCAAAATAGACAAATGGGATCTAATTAAACTAAAGAGCTTCTGCACAGCAAAAGAAACTATCATCGGAGTGAACAGGCAACCTACAGAATGGGAAAAAATTTCTGCAATCTATCCATCTGACAAAGGGCTAATATCCACAATCTACAAAGAACTTAAACAAATTTACAAGAAAAAAAACAACCCCATCAAAAAGTGGGTGAAGGGGCCAGGCACCGTGACTCACGCCTGTAATCCCAACACTTTGGGAGGCCGAGGCGGGCAGATCATAAGGTCAGGAAATCGAGACCATACTGGCTAACATGGTGAAACCCCATCTCTACTAAAAATACAAAAAATTAGCTGGGAGTGGTGGTGGGCTCCTGTAGTCCCAGGTACTTGGGAGGCTGAGGTAGGAGAATAGTGTGAACCTGGAAGGCGGAGCTTGCAGTGAGCAGAGATCACGCGACTGCACTCCACTCTGGGTGACAGAGCGAGACTCCATCTCAAAAAAAAAAAAAAGAAAAGAAAAGAAAAAAAGAAGGATATGAACAGACACTTCTCATAAGAAGTCATTTATGCAGCCAACAAACATATGAAAAAAAGCTCATCACTTGTCATTAGAGAAATGCAAATCAAAACCACAATGAGATACCATCTCATGACAGAATGGTGATCATTATAAAGTCAGGAAACAACAGATGGTGGAGAGGATGTGGAGAAATATGAACGCTTTTACACTGTTGGTGGGAGTGTAAATTAGTTCAACCATTATGGAAGACAGTGTGGCGATTCCTCAAGGATCTAGAACTAGAAATACCATTTGATCCAGCAATCCCATTACTGGGTATATACCCAAAGGATTATAAATCATTCTACTATAAAGACACATGCACACATATGTTTACTGCAGCACTGTTCACAATAGCAAAGACTTGGAACCAACCCAAATGTCCATCAATGATAGACTGGATAAGGAAAATGTGGCACATATATACCATGGAATACTATGCAGGATAGTATTCCATAGGAGCGATAGCATTAGCAGAAACACCTAATGTAGATGACGGGTTGATGAGTGCAGCAAACCACCATGGCACGTGTATACCTGTGTAACAATTCTGCACGTTCTGCACATGTACCCCAGAACTTAAAGTATAATTTTAAAAATGAGTTTTCTCAGTGACTTAGACATAAAAGTGCTCAAAAAATGTTTACTTATTATTATTTTAGTAGTAGTAGCAGTAGTAGGATCCATAAGGTTTTACAACTTATAAAATACTTCTATATTCCTTTTCTTGTCTATAAGTTATATCACTTCCAAATTATCCAAGAAGATTATTTGCTGGGAGCGATAGTTACAACCATCAGCAGAGCTATAATACATCCTAGAACTAAACTATAATAGTAAACATGTTTTATTTTCTAGAGGCAAAAGTCCTAGATTAAAACATTTTAACACACTGAGCATATCTTAATTGTGTTGAAAGTGCTTCTGGCAGGAATTCAAGGAATATGCATCTTGGTTGCAACTCGGAGATAAAATTTGACCTTGAGAAAGCCATTCAACTTTTCTCGGCTTCAGTTTTTCTATCCTGAAAATGAGTACAAAATAGCATGATATATAAGGTCTCTTCCAGCACTGAAAACACTTGAAGCACATGATAGGTCTATCTGCCTATTATAGGGTGAAAATTCAGAGGTTTGTTTTCTATGGAATGCCTAATATACAGAAGAATCAGCATGATGTTCTGGGGTATGAACAGGGTTTTTAATGCTGTGAGGTGCTAGATTATGTGGATTTGACATCACCTTTTTAATTTATTTTAGGCACAGGGCTAATGTTATTTCATAACTGGAATTCTGGAAATGAAATGGGTCTCTCCTATGGTCATTTTCTGGATGTCAATAAGAAAACTGTCTCTTTAGGGGACATGCCTAAAATAAAATACCTCAAGATAGAAAAGGTCCTACATACGGACAGTTTATAACAATAACCCACTCAAACAGTGGTATTTTAAAAAAGTTTTAAAATATATTGTCTCATTTTCATAACAATTAAGCAAGCTTAGTCTCATGATTACATTTTACACAGGAGGAAGTTAATTGTTCAAAGATTACCCAACTAAGAGGTACTGGAACCAAGATTGAAGTTTTATTTTTTTACTTTGATTGAACTTTTATTTATATTTTATGTCTAGTGATTATGTTGAGATTTTTGAAAAAACTAAGGAAAGCTTTCTGAGGCACTTTTGATACAAGACATTTCTAACACCTAGTGACTGGAGCTTCTGAGCATTGAAGCTCCTTGAAGTTTCTTTAAAGACATTTACTATCTTTGAAGAACAGCAGCTACTACGTTCTTACTAAGTAATGTGTAGAATCATGAAGAGTACCCATTTGAAGACTATTCTCCAATGACAGGAGATTCAAATGAAGGCTTTGAGACCTTAACCAAGCCCAATTTTTCCCCATTTTTATGTCCTCAATTAGTTTCATAGGCAGCTAATTGCACCTTCAAAACAAGGTACACCTGGGTAATTTTGCCGTCAACTATCCTAGCAGATGCTGTTAACCTCTTGTGTCTGCAATTAGTCCTATAGAGCAATAATTACCAAATAAACATGACTGGCTTTAATAAAACTTGGTGGGCCAAAATTTTAAAGTGAAATAGGCTACTTTATGACTTAGTTGGAGCCAACTGTAGACTGATAAGGATAGTAGGTAACATTTACATAGAACTTATCACTTTACAGAGTGCTTTTAAATAAATTGACTTATTTATTTTTTATAAAATTTTATGTTAGATTACATTATCATTATTGTTTTTGAAATAAGAAAACATAAGATTATATATTTGATACAGTTTATTCAACTAACATGGATAAGAGTGGATATGTAAGACAAAACCCTAGTTTCTTGCTCCTAATCCTGACTTCTTTTTACTACAAAACGCTACTGCTCTTAATTTTTCTTAAAAACATTTCAGTTGAGCCTTTAAAGATTATATTTATTCGTATAAATATATTTATCCTTATATTTATTCATTTATTTGCTTACTTCTTTATTAAAGAAATTTTATTAAATTTGAAGTCCAGGCAAAAGTTCTGGAATGATAATAGAGATTTGGGGGTTATTAGCATATAAATGGTATTTGAGATCATCTTGTTGAATTATGTTGCCCAAGAACATGTAGAATGATAAGAGTTGTTAAGTAGAAGATGAATCATTGGGGAATAATTACTCTTTTTTTAAAAAATTGCATAATTATGATACATTTATCAAAATAGATAAATTAACATTGGTATAATCCTGATGATAAAACTATTGGCTTGATATGGATTTCACTTGGCTGTTTTTACAACTGTCTTTTTGCTGCTGCAATATTCAATCTAGGATACCTACCACATTGCTTTATCATGTTTACTTAGTCTCCTTTGTTCTGTGACAGTTTGTGTATCTTTCCTTATTATGTTCCTGATACTTGAAAAGTGAATTTTGGAGTGTTTCTCGGTTTGAGTTTGACTGATGCTTTCTCATAATTACATTGGGATTGTGGGTTTCAGAGAAAAGCACCACAGAAATGAAGTGCCTTCTCATTATGTATTATCAGAGATTATGTGATATTAACATAATTTGTCACCAGTGATGCTAACCTTGATCATTTAAGCTGATATCTGTTAAATTTCTTCACGGTAAAACTATGTTTTCCTTCCCATATGCTATTCTTTGGAAGTAAGTAATTAAGTTAATCCACACTCAAAAGAAGGGAAGTCCAGCTTACCTCCTGGAAGGAAGAGAATCAAAGAATGTGTGGACGTATGTTAAAACTACCACAGTAACTAGTAATTATTTTGAGGGGGATACTTTGAGGTTATGCACATATCTTATTTCTCCTTAAGGTTTTACCCACTAATTTTTATTATTCATCAATGTATGTTGGCTGCAGCAAATATTATTATGGTGTTTTAATGACACTTTCTAATTATCTCATTAATTTTACATGAACTAGTTGTAATGTTCTGTAAGGAGGTTTGCTTTATTTGTTGATTGCTTATTTACACTATGATTTTAAAGATATTTATTTTAATCTTTGATTACAACCAACACTAGTGCTATTTTTTAGCTCAAATTATTTCAACTTTAGACATTAGGAGATGTTTCCATTTGACTTCTGGAAACTTTTCAGGAATAACTACACTTAAGAAATACTATTTAAGGGAGTTATGCCTATGAAAGTGGCTGAGGAGAACTTGTAAGAAAGAAGGGTATCCAGGAAAGTTGATGTCATGTGAACAGAGAAGAGAGAGTTTCAACAGTTAGTGATTGATTGACAGAGCCAAATAGAGAAAAAAATCCAATGCAATAATAGGTTGAAAGTAACTACTTGATGTAACCAGGACTTATTTGTGACTTTAGTAAATAGAGTGATGGAGGTAAAAACAACTTGGAATTGATTATGATAATAAGAAATTAGAAATGATAAGAATAAAATTTGTTAAAATGAGAAGAGAGAGCTAAATATGGTATTTAGAAGTACTTGATAGAAAGAAATAGAGTTAATAGAGGTGATTATGGGATTGGAGACAGTTATATAAATTTAATGCTGCAAAACTAGCAGAGGAAGAGATGTTGACTGTGGGGGTGAAAGGAGAGTTACTTGATGGAGATATGCCTAGGAATTTGGGAGAATATGTTCAAAAGGATACAGATGGAACAATTAGCTCTAGACAAGAATAAGGAAAGTTTATCTTCTAAGACTAGAATAAAAGGTGGGGTAACATTGAAGAGGGATGCATGAAGCTTTAGCAACTGCACATGAGAAGATTGAGGTAGACTACATCTGATGGCATTTGTTTTCATTGAAATAGAAGTTAAGGACATATGCTGAAAGGGTGAAGGACACATGCCAGGAGCACCACAGAAAGGTTTATAATATCAATTGAGAAAAACTTACATAAGTGAACTAAAAGTAAATTCCTCCCTGGTCAAGCCTTTTGATGAGATCTCATCCTTGACCACCATTTTGATTGATGCTTTGGAGAGATCATGAAGCAAAGGAATAAACTAAGCATTGTCTAGATTTCTATCTCAAAAGATAAGAAATGTGTATTGTTTTAAGCCGACAAATTTAATTTTTGTTTATTTTTCTTCCATGCTCATGGGTAGGAAGAATCGGTATCATGTAAATGGCCATACTGCCCAAGGTAATTTATAGACTCAATGCCATCCCCATCAAGCTACTAATGACTTTCTTCACCGAATTGGAAAAATCTACTTTAAAATTCATATGGAACCAAAAAAGAGCCCACATCACCAAGTCAATCCTCAGCCAAAAGAACAAACCTGGAGGCATCACGCTACCTGACTTCAAACTATACTACAAGGCTACAGTAACCAAAACAGCATGGTACTGGTACCAAAACAGAGATATAGATCAATGGAACAGAACAGAGCCCTCAGAAATAACGCCACATATCTACAACTATCTGATCTTTGACAAACCTGAGAAAAACAAGCAATGGGGAAAGGATTCCCTATTTAACAAATGGTGCTGGGAAAACTGGCTAGCCATATGTAGAAAGCTGAAACTGGATCCCTTCCTTACACCTTATACAAAAATCAATTCAAGATGGATTAAAGACTTAAACATTAGACCTAAAACCATAAAAACCCTAGAAGAAAACCTAGGCATTACCATTCAGGACATAGGCATGGGCAAGGACTTCATGTCTAAAACACCAAAAGCAATGGCAACAAAAGCCAAAATTGACAAATGGGATCTAATTAAACTAAAGAGCATCTGCACAGCAAAAGAAACTACCATCAGAGTGAACAGGCAACCTACAAAATGGGAGAAAATTTTCGCAACCTACTCATCTGACAAAGGGCTAATATCCAGAATCTACAATGAACTCAAACAAATTTTCAAGAAAAAAACAAACAACCCCATCAAAAAGTGGGCAAAGGATATGAACAGACACTTCTCAAAAGAAGACATTTATGCAGCCAAAAGACACATGAAAAAATGCTCATCATCACTGGCCATCAGAGAAATGCAAATCAAAACCACAATGAGATACCATCTCACACCAGTTAGAATGGCAATCATTAAAAAGTCAGGAAACAACAGGTGCTGGAGAGGATATGGAGAAATAGGAACACTTATACTGTTGGTGGGACTGTAAACTAGTTCAACCATTGTGGAAGTCAGTGTGGTGATTCCTCAGGGATCTAGAACTAGAAATACCATTTGACCCAGCCATCCCATTACTGGGTATATACCCAAAGGACTATAAATCATGCTGCTATAAAGACACATGCACACGTATGTTTATTGCGGCACTATTCACGATAGCAAAGACTTGGAACCAACCCAAATGTTCAAGAACGATAGACTGGATTAAGAAAATGTGGCACATATACACCATGGAATACTATGCAGCCATAAAAAATGATGAGTTCATGTCCTTTGTAGGGACATGGATGAAACTGGAAATCATCATTCTCAGTAAACTATCACAAGGACAAAAAACCAAACACCGCATGTTCTCACTCATAGATGGGAATTGAACAATGAGAACACATGGACACAGGAAGGGGAACATCACCCTCTGGGGACTGTTGTGGGATGGGGGGAGGGGGGAGGGATAGCATTAGAAGATATACCTAATGCTAAATGACAAGTTAGTGGGTGTAGCACACCAGCATGGCACATGTATACATATGTAACCAACCTGCACATTGTGCACATGTACCCTAAAACTTAAAGTATAATAATAATAATAATAATAATAATAAAATCAGCTTTAGTGAGATATTGTTTACATACCATAAAATTTACTCATATATGTTGATTTTTAAAGTACATATTTATAACTGTAAATTATTCAAATTCACCCCATATGTATTCAGGTAGAAGAGTGAATATCGTTGAGCTTGCTTAACTCTGGATTACTAATATGACCGAAGACCCTGGATGATACATTCATTAAGGTGGCATTCATAAAATTTTATGAGGAATTCATAAAGTTCCTCTAACCCTGAGTGTCTTGGGTTATTAACAGTAAACCATTAAATTTCAGAGTAATTTTTTATGCAGCAAAGATACCTAATGTACTTGGATAATTTTTTTGGCTTGAGGCAAATTTCTGGGGAGCACTGCAGCTGAGAGCTGTCAGTAGAAAACAGGCCTAGAAGGTGATGAAACTAATGTGATGTTCCTGAGGAGACAGAGCACCATGGTCTTTACCATACTATGATATAGGAATTTAGGATTTAAGAAATACACCAAAAATATGAAGATGCAAAGTGTAACTTGGGTTAGATATTCTAAACTTAATAGAAAGTGAGGTTCACTGAAATCAGGTAATGCAATGAATTGTGAGATTTCATATTAAATATGTCTTCTTCATGGATGTTATTGACTAGGAATATAACAGTAATTGACTGGAGATAAAGGCTGTTAACCAGATTTTTCAAAATTCAGTGCATGAATGGGAGTTTCCAGGAATAAAGGAAAATATGAGAAAAAAATAGAAAATTGTGTAGCCAGTTTATCTCAAACGGGGATAAGCCTTTAAAATAGTAGAAATGTAACAGATTCATAACTTGTAAGTAGCCCTGAGAGAATAAGAAAATATCAACACCTTCCTTGGCTTCATGGAACATAATAAATAGACTCATTCAAGAGAGCATTCAGAAAAATACACTGTACAAGGAGAGAAAAATCAAATTTTCAGTTAAAGCAAGGGGGTGAAGTACTCTGAATAGAGAATGAGATATAGAACTTTTAATGATAGCCTGAATGTATGTGTCCATGCGTGCATGTGTGTGCGTCTTGTAATGGGAGTGTGGATGGTATGTATGTGTGGAGGGGGGTGCTATAATTACTGGGAGGAACAGAAATAAACTCAAAGCTGAGAGGGGATATGAGTTTGAAAGGCTATGGGAAATTTGAGAGTGCCTTTCATGAAATTACACTGATGAAAGACCTAAATAAAACGCACTGATCTCAAAAAGTCCCAACTTTGGCATAAGTAATTTGATACTTTTGACACTTTGGTACTATCTTTTAACCAACAATATTTGGCATATTGAGAGCATATGCTCAGGAGACTGGCTCCGGTGTTGTTGGTGCCTATGGAGGCCAACATTTTGAGTCATAGCAATATTCTAGTAACACTATGTTTCTCAGGGGACATAATGGCATTAATAGAGAGAAAATAGTACCAAAGGCCTCTATCTTATACCCTTTCTGTTTTTACTTTTATTTTTCAAACACACACACATGCATATTTGAGAAAAATAGTGTATTAGTCAGGGTTCTCTAGAGGGACAGAACTAATGGAATATATATATATATATATATATATATATATATATATATATATATATATATATATATATAGAGAGAGAGAGAGAGAGAGAGAGAGAGAGA
The DNA here is from genome assembly GCF_000001405.40 of Homo sapiens. NCBI lineage: Eukaryota > Metazoa > Chordata > Mammalia > Primates > Hominidae > Homo > Homo sapiens. The sequence goes on from NC_000023.11 coordinate 81,835,780, forward strand.
GAAGAGTTTATTAAGTATTAACTCATATGATCACAAGGTCCCACAATAGGCCATCTGCAGGCTGAGAAGCAAGGAGAGCAAGTCCAAGTTCCAAAACTGAAGAACTTGGACTCCAGTGTTTCAGGACAGGAAGCATCCAGTACAGGAGAAAGATGTAGGCTGGGAGGCTAGGCCAGTCTCTCTTTTCATATTTTTCTGCCTGCTTATATTCTAGCCATGCTGGCAGCTGGTTAGATTGTGCCTACCCAGATTAAGGGTGGGTCTGCCTTTCCCAGCCCACTGATTCAAATGTTAATCTCCTTTGGCAACACCCTCACAGACACAACAAGGAACAATAATTTGTATCCAATCAAGTTCACACTCAGTATTAATCATCACAAATGGCCAGGGCTATTTTTTCTTAGAGTGTTACCCACACCACTGAAAAGAGAATCAAAAGCATGGGACTCATCATAATGTCTCTGGGAAAATACAGTTATTACATGGAAATGTATTTCCCAATTATTCACGTTTCCATGTGAAAGTAGTTATTTTTAAATACTTCAGTATTCTCTCAGCTTCCTCCACCCTTGACTTCTCACTAAGTTATTTATATAATTTATTAGTTTGAGTAAAAAAATTAAGCATACAGGATTCAAGTTTTTCTTCTATTATGTCTTTGAAGTACTGGTAGCCCACAAGAAGCACACATGCTTGTCCGTTCCATGCCACCGTGCAAATTTATTGAGGTAAGCTCTTCCCTGAAGCAGTAAGCCTACAGCTCAATTCAAGGAAGCATTTAATTCAATTCAAGTGAAGCATTTCAATTCAGAAAAGGGTTCAAAATCAATTTGGCCAGATCTAAGCCATATCCTACAACGGAATTGTGTAGGTGGTGTGTTCACCTCTCTGACCCCTATGTCTATCTCTCATTTTGTCATCAGAAGACACTTAGTTTATGATGGGAAGCTCAGGTTGTATGGTAACTTGGTGGCCCATGGTTAAGTGCCCATTTCTCTATACAGGCCCAGTAACAGGCCAGGAACTATTGTACATAAAAAGAGTAGTTATCTACAGAGGATGACAAGGCTTTGTCTCAATATCCTAGGAGTCAGCACTGAGATTTACCTATAGATGCCTGATAAAGGATCCAAACAGCATCTCTATTTGCCTTTGACATGGTCAAGCACAATTGAGTCTTCTTCTTCTTTCTTCTGCTTTCTTCTTCTTTCTTTTTCTTTTTCTTTTCTTTTTTTTTTTTTTTTTTTTTTGACAGATTTTTGGTCTTGTTGCTCGGGCTGGAGTGCAGTGGCATGATCTCGGCTTATTGCAACCTCCAGCTCTGGATTCAAGCGATTCTCCTGCATCAGCCTTCTGAGTAGCTGGGATTACAGGTGCCTGCCACTACGCCCAGCTAGTTTTTTGTATTTTTAGTGGAGACGGGTTTTCACAATGTTGCCCAGCCCGGTCTTGAACTCCTGACCTCAGGTGATTCACCTGCCTCAGCCTCCCAAAGTGCTGGGATTACAGGCGTGAGCCACCGCGCTCGGCCCAACTCTTCTTGATCATATGAACCAAGTAGCAGTATGGTTTCCATAGCAGCCTGGATGTTTTGCAGAGCCTTATTTTGTTTTGGCCCCCACTGAAAACTAGTAGCTTTTTAGTTTACTCAATGTCACCACAGCCATAGCCAAATACCTCTACCATGATAAGTCACTGCTCAAATATTGTAATTATGAACCACCATGTGGCCCCTGGAATTCAAAGAAATCTATCACAGTAGCCATCTGACATTGAGAAGACGTGTTATTTTTCCACATCTTTTCCTCGAGAGGAGATATTCTGGTAGTGGACTTAAAAGGAATCCCTAAATTTTGCTTTTACATTTATTTTTATTACTTTCTCTTCTTACTTTTAGCAGTAGGAAAATATTAGAAGTACATTGGTGAATCTGACTGTTGGCCTGCTACTATCCAGAATCTACAATGAACTCAAACAAATTTACAAGAAAAAAAAAACAACCCCATCAAAAAGTGGGCAAAGGACATGAACAGACACTTCTCAAAAGAAGACATTAATGCAGCCAAAAACCACATGAAAAAATGCTCATCATCACTGGCCATCAGAGAAATGCAAATCAAAACCACAAGGAGATACCATCTCACACCAGTTAGAATGGCAATCATTAAAAAGTCAGGAAACAACAGGTGCTGGAGAGGATGTGGAGAAATAGGAACACTTTTACACTGTTGGTGGGACTGTAAACTAGTTCAACCATTGTGGAAGTCAGTGTGGCAATTCCTCAGGGATCTAGAACCAGAAATAACATTTGACCCAGCCATCCCATTACTGGGTATATACCCAAAGGATTATAAATCATGCTGCTATAAAGACACATGCACACGTATGTTTATTGCAGGCACTATTCACAATAGCAAAGACTTGGAACCAACCCAAATGTTCAAGAACAATAGACTGGATTAAGAAAATGTGGCACATATACACCATGGAATACTATGCAGTCATAAAAATGATGAGTTCATGTCCTTTGTAGGGACATGGATGAAACTGGAAACCATCATTCTCAGCAAACTATTGCAAGGACAAAAAACCAAACACTGCATGTTCTCACTCATAGATGGGAATTGAACAACGAGAACACATGGGCACAGGAAGGGGAACATCACACTCCGGGGACTGTTGTGGGGTGGGGGGAAGGGGGAGGGATAGCACTAGGAGATATACCTAATGCTAAATGACGAGTTAATGGGTGCAGCACACCAACATGGCACATGAATACATATGTAACAAACCTGCACATTGTGCACATGTACCCTAAAACTTAAAGTATAATAATAATAAAATTAAAAAAAAAAGAAGTACATTGGAGCAACACACTATTAGGAGCAGAAGTTTAGCATACAAGCATATATATAAGGTAACTACAGGCCCTCACAACTTTTCTCTCTGGCCCAAATAATTTTGTGTGCTTATGCATTAACTTAAACAAATTTTATTCTAGATATTTCAGTTTCAAAAGAAATAAAGTAAATAAAATTAGAAACATGGAAAGAGAAGGGAAAAAACACTTTAATTTGCACTATTTTCTACCTTAATTTTTTTGTTTATCTATAATCTATCTATATTTTAACATATGTAACTAATTTTTTATTAAGCTAAATTCAAACACACAGTTCTTGAACATATTCTCTGAAGAATCACCTGACCAAATGCAGCTGTTATGTAACCAATGTCCTTAGAATCAAGTGAAAGGCATATATTAATCTTTCAAATATTTTGCACTTAATGGCAGTTCATGATCGGTTACATGTCTCATGTTCTGCTGAAAATCATTTTTGAATATAATAACATTTTTGTTATTGAAAAATAATCTCATTTTTTTACAAATTAAAGGGTAAAATAATTTTTAATCTTTTGTCCAAAATAACTATCAGAACACTTCGTGTAATACTATGACTATATATCAAATGTGTCCCCAGACAATTTATAATTTGGAGACTGCCATTTGAATATTAATACTACAAGCAAAAGTAAGTGAAGTGATGGTTTCATTGGGAGGAATTTGGTGGCCAAATTTGAAAAAATTAGTAAATTCTAAAGGAGGGAAATTGATTAAATAAATAACCTAATGTATGCTACTGAAGCACTGCCTCTGGTAAAGGTTAGGGTAATAACTACTGTGGGACTCCAAACTTCTCCAAAATGTCAGCCCACAAAGACAGAGTTTCCTTTCAAACCATTCCAGACTAATAAAAAGGAAGTCATGTTTTTTAGGCTGGTGAATTCTTTAGGTGAATTTCTACAAGCAACACCTGGAGCTTCTGACATCTTAGAAATTCAATGCTCTGAGTAGTTGGCTAGCCTGGGGTCGGGGTTGACTTGCTTCATCTTTAAATTTCCGAAATTGTCTACCAAACTTTTTCTTGGAAAGAAGACTGTATGTAGCAGGGCAGTAAACAAGCCAACATGTGCCCAGTGAGGTGGATAATGAAAGATGACTTTCAGTTGTAAACATCTTAAGTTCTGAATTGGAAGCTTAGAATATTTTCTTAAAACAGAGCTTGCTCCTGTCATATTCCATTATTTTAATCATGTGACATTTCCTTTTTTTCTTTAAGAATCGTTTGTCTCATTACTTTCCAATATACTATGTGCATATGTCATTAATGTGGGTGATTTATAAAAGTAAAAATTAATGAGAAACATTTCTTACCAAAATACAGTCTAAATTTTACTGTTCAGATTGTTTCTACCTCTATGCAAATAAATGTTTTATTACAGAGAATGCTTCTTTAGACAATGTCATTCTCCCAGACTCCACCTGTTGGAATTTATTCGTATTTTATGGCCCAGATTAAATTTCAATTATTCCATGAAATTCTACCTGATAGGTTCTTGTTTTCTCTCCACCATTCCCATCCCATATAGCTAACTCTATGGCAGCTACTAGAGTTTTTGTATACTAGATTAATAGAACTAGAAGATATTGCTAATTGATGTATTTTCTAAGCTCATACTGTATACTATTCATTTTACCTATATTAAATACATTAGACACACATTTAAATACATTAGACATAATATAGTATTATTCATATTTAAAAAAATAAAAAAAAGAAATCCATAGACGTTAAGAAACTTTATGAAATGTCACAGAGCTTGTATGCCATGATACCTGGATTTAAATCTAAAGTGCTTATGTCCTTTATCTTATTCCATATTTATCAATTTATATTTCAGTATGCTCTGGGTACATAGAGGACGAATATCTTACCAAATAGAGGGAAGAAAATAAGTTTATCCATGGAGTTTTTCTGGAAGTTGAGAAATGTACAGACTTATTAAGGGGCTATATTGTTTCACAGTCATCCTTGGATATCCTGCAATGTCTAACACAATATCTTGTGAGTAGCAGGTGCTTAATAAATACTCTCTGACTCATATCAAAAGGTGCTGTTTTTCTCCCCCTGTTTTTCACAAAGATGTTTGAAGTTTTATTTCCATTTGAGCATTTCTCTATATACATTGATTAATATGCATTTTCAGTCTTGTAGAAAATGCCAACTGAGGTTAACAACTGCCCCGGTTGTTATCTTTGTACCCCCAAGCAACTCAAGTAACCTATTGTAGATATAGTCAATTGGCACTCAGTATTCATCCCAACCACTTTCTGGTGTGCAATCCTATATTACAGAGGCTGGAAATTTAAAAATAATTTATAAACAACAGTAAGATAGCACTACCTATTAGACTGATTAAAATCTGAAAATTGAGAATTAACAATTACTGACAAGAATGTAGACAGAAACCCTTATTTATTTATTTATTTTTTGCGGGAATGCAAAATGTTATGGCTACATTAGAAGGCAATTTGGAGGGAGGAGCCAAGATGGCCGAATAGGAACAGCTCTGGTCTACAGCTCCCAGCGTGAGCGACGCAGAAGACGGTGATTTCTGCATTTCCATCTGAGGTACCGGGTTCATCTCACTAGGGAGTGCCAGACAGTGGGCGCAGGCCAGTGTGTGTGCGCACCTTGCGCGAGCCGAAGCAGGGCGAGGCATTGCCTCACCTGGGAAGCGCAAGGGGTCAGGGAGTTCCCTTTCCGAGTCAAAGAAAGGGGTGACGGACGCACCTGGAAAATCGGGTCACTCCCACCCGAATATTGCGCTTTTCAGACCGGCTTAAGAAACGGCGCACCACGAGACTATATCCCACACCTGGCTCGGAGGGTCCTACGCCCACGGAATCTCGCTGATTGCTAGCACAGCAGTCTGAGATCAAACTGCAAGGCGGCAACGAGGCTGGGGGAGGGGCGCCCGCCATTGCCCAGGCTTGCTTAGGTAAACAAAGCAGCCGGGAAGCTCGAACTGGGTGGAGCCCACCACAGCTCAAGGAGGCCTGCCTGCCTCTGTAGGCTCCACCTCTGGGGGCAGGGCACAGACAAACAAAAAGACAGCAGTAACCTCTGCAGACTTAAGTGTCCCTGTCTGACAGCTTTGAAGAGAGCAGTGGTTCTCCCAGCACGCAGCTGGAGATCTAAGAACGGGCAGACTACCTCCTCAAGTGGGTCCCTGACTCCTGACCCCCGAGCAGCCTAACTGGGAGGCACCCCCCAGCAGGGGCACACTGACACCTCACACGGCAGGGTATTCCAACAGACCTGCAGCTGAGGGTCCTGTCTGTTAGAAGGAAAACTAACAACCAGAAAGGACATCTACACCGAAAACCCATCTGTACATCACCATCATCAAAGACCAAAAGTAGATAAAACCACAAAGATGGGGAAAAAACAGAACAGAAAAACTGGAAACTCTAAAACGCAGAGCGCCTCTCCTCCTCCAAAGGAACGCAGATCCTCACCAGCAACAGAACAAAGCTGGATGGAGAATGATTTTGACGAGCTGAGAGAAGAAGGCTTCAGACGATCAAATTACTCTGAGCTACGGGAGGACATTCAAACCAAAGGCAAAGAAGTTCAAAACTTTGAAAAAAATTTAGAAGAATGTATAACTAGAATAACCAATACAGAGAAGTGCTTAAAGGAGCTGATGGAGCTGAAAACCAAGGCTCGAGAACTACGTGAAGAATGCAGAAGCCTCAGGAGCTGATGCGATCAACTGGAAGAAAGGGTATCAGCAATGGAAGATGAAATGAATGAAATGAAGCGAGAAGGGAAGTTTAGAGAAAAAAGAATAAAAAGAAATGAGCAAAGCCTCCAAGAAATATGGGACTATGTGAAAAGACCAAATCTACGTCTGATTGGTGTACCTGAAAGTGATGTGGAGAATGGAACCAAGTTGGAAAACACTCTGCAGGATATTATCCAGGAGAACTTCCCCAATCTAGCAAGGCAGGCCAACGTTCAGATTCAGGAAATACAGAGAACGCCACAAAGATACTCCTCGAGAAGAGCAACTCCAAGACACATAATTGTCAGATTCACCAAAGTTGAAATGAAGGAAAAAATGTTAAGGGCAGCCAGAGAGAAAGGTCGGGTTACCCTCAAAGGAAAGCCCATCAGACTAACAGCGGATCTCTCGGCAGAAACCCTACAAGCCAGAAGAGAGTGGGGGCCAATATTCAACATTCTTAAAGAAAAGAATTTTCAACCCAGAATTTCATATCCAGCCAAACTAAGCCTCATAAGTGAAGGAGAAATAAAATACTTTATAGACAAGCAAATGTTGAGAGATTTTGTCACCACCAGGCCTGCCCTACAAGAGCTCCTGAAGGAAGCGCTAAACATGGAAAGGAACAACCGGTACCAGCCGCTGCAAAATCATGCCAAAATGTAAAGACCATCGAGACTAGGAAGAAACTGCATCAACTAATGAGCAAAATCACCAGCTAACATCATAATGACAGGATCAAATTCACACATAACAATATTAACTTTAAATATAAATGGACTAAATTCTGCAATTAAAAGACACAGACTGGCAAGTTGCATAAAGAGTCAAGACCCATCAGTGTGCTGTATTCAGGAAACCCATCTCACGTGCAGAGACACACATAGGCTCAAAATAAAAGGATGGAGGAAGATCTACCAAGCCAATGGAAAACAAAAAAAGGCAGGGGTTGCAATCCTAGTCTCTGATAAAACAGACTTTAAACCAACAAAGATAAAAAGAGACAAAGAAGGCCATTACATAATGGTAAAGGGATCAATTCAACAAGAGGAGCTAACTATCCTAAATATTTATGCACCCAATACAGGAGCACCCAGATTCATAAAGCAAGTCCTCAGTGACCTACAAAGAGACTTAGACTCCCACACATTAATAATGGGAGACTTTAACACCCCACTGTCAACATTAGACAGATCAACGAGACAGAAAGTCAACAAGGATACCCAGGAATTGAACTCAGCTCTGCACCAAGCAGACCTAATAGACATCTACAGAACTCTCCACCCCAAATCAACAGAATATACATTTTTTTCAGCACCACACCACACCTATTCCAAAATTGACCACATAGTTGGAAGTAAAGCTCTCCTCAGCAAATGTAAAAGAACAGAAATTATAACAAACTATCTCTCAGACCACAGTGCAATCAAACTAGAACGCAGGATTAAGAATCTCACTCAAAGCCGCTCAACTACATGGAAACTGAACAACCTGCTCCTGAATGACTACTGGGTACATAACGAAATGAAGGCAGAAATAAAGATGTTCTTTGAAACCAACGAGAACAAAGACACCACATACCAGAATCTCTGGGACGCATTCAAAGCAGTGTGTAGAGGGAAATTTATAGCACTAAATGCCTACAAGAGAAAGCAGGAAAGATCCAAAATTGACACCCTAACATCACAATTAAAAGAACTAGAAAAGCAAGAGCAAACACATTCAAAAGCTAGCAGAAGGCAACAAATAACTAAAATCAGAGCAGAACTGAAGGAAATAGAGACACAAAAAACCCTTCAAAAAATCAATGAATCCAGGAGCTGGTTTTTTGAAAGGATCAACAAAATTGATAGACCGCTAGCAAGACTAATAAAGAAAAAAAGAGAGAAGAATCAAATAGACACAATAAAAAATGATAAAGGGGATATCACCACCGATCCCACAGAAATACAAACTACCATCAGAGAATACTACAAACACCTCTACGCAAATAAAGTAGAAAATCTAGAAGAAATGGATACATTCCTCGACACATACACTCTCCCAAGACTAAACCAGGAAGAAGTTGAATCTCTGAATCGACCAATAACAGGCTCTGAAATTGTGGCAATAATCAATAGTTTACCAACCAAAAAGAGTCCAGGACCAGATGGATTCACAGCCGAATTCTACCAGAGGTACAAGGAGGAACTGGTACCATTCCTTCTGAAACTATTCCAATCAATAGAAAAAGAGGGAATCCTCCCTAACTCATTTTATGAGGCCAGCATCATTCTGATACCAAAGCCGGGCAGAGACACAACCAAAAAAGAGAATTTTAGACCAATATCCTTGATGAACATTGATGCAAAAATCCTCAATAAAATACTGGCAAACCGAATCCAGCAGCACATCAAAAAGCTTATCCACCATGATCAAGTGGGCTTCATCCCTGGGATGCAAGGCTGGTTCAATATACGCAAATCAATAAATGTAATCCAGCATATAAACAGAGCCAAAGACAAAAACCACATGATTATCTCAATAGATGCAGAAAAAGCCTTTGACAAAATTCAACAACCCTTCATGCTAAAAACTCTCAATAAATTAGGTATTGATGGGACGTATTTCAAAATAATAAGAGCTATCTATGACAAACCCACAGCCAATATCATACTGAATGGGCAAAAACTGGAAGCATTCCATTTGAAAACCGGCACAAGACAGGGATGCCCTCTCTCACCGCTCCTATTCAACATAGTGTTGGAAGTTCTGGCCAGGGCAATCAGGCAGGAGAAGGAAATAAAGGGTATTCAATTAGGAAAAGAGGAAGTCAAATTGTCCCTGTTTGCAGACGACATGATTGTTTATCTAGAAAACCCCATCGTCTCAGCCCAAAATCTCCTTAAGCTGATAAGCAACTTCAGCAAAGTCTCAGGATACAAAATCAATGTACAAAAATCACAAGCATTCTTATACACCAACAACAGACAAACAGAGAGCCAAATCATGGGTGAACTCCCATTCACAATTGCTTCAAAGAGAATAAAATACCTAGGAATCCAACTTACAAGGGATGTGAAGGACCTCTTCAAGGAGAACTACAAACCACTGCTCAAGGAAATAAAAGAGGAGACAAACAAATGGAAGAACATTCCATGCTCATGGGTAGGAAGAATCAATATCGTGAAAATGGCCATACTGTCCAAGGTAATTTACAGATTCAATGCCATCCCCATCAAGCTACCAATGACTTTCTTCACAGAATTGGAAAAAACTACTTTAAAGTTCATATGGAACCAAAAAAGAGCCCGCATTGCCAAGTCAATCCTAAGCCAAAAGAACAAAGCTGGAGGCCTCACACTACCTGACTTCAAACTATACTACAAGGCTACAGTAACCAAAACAGCATGGTACTGGTACAAAAACAGAGATATAGATCAATGGAACAGAACAGAGCCCTCAGAAATAATGCCGCATATCTACAACTATCTGATCTTTGACAAACCTGAGAAAAACAAGCAATGGGGAAAGGATTCCCTATTTAATAAATGGTGCTGGGAAAACTGGCTAGCCATATGTAGAAAGCTGAAACTGGATCCCTTCCTTACACCTTATACAAAAATCAATTCAAGATGGATTAAAGATTTAAACGTTAAACCTAAAACCATAAAAACCCTAGAAGAAAACCTAGGCATTACCATTCAGGACATAGGCGTGGGCAAGGACTTCATGTCCAAAACACCAAAAGCAATGGCAACAAAAGACAAAATTGACAAATGGGATCTAATTAAACTAAAGAGCTTCTGCACAGCAAAAGAAACTACCATCAGAGTGAACAGGCAACCTACAACATGGGAGAAAATTTTTGCAACCTACTCATCTGACAAAGGGCTAATATCCAGAATCTACAATGAACTCAAACAAATTTACAAGAAAAAAACAAACAACCCCATCAAAAAGTGGGCGAAGGACATGAACAGACACTTCTCAAAAGAAGACATTTATGCAGCCAAAAAACACATGAAGAAATGCTCATCATCACTGGCCATCAGAGAAATGCAAATCAAAACCACTATGAGATATCATCTCACACCAGTTAGAATGGCAATCATTAAAAAGTCAGGAAACAACAGGTGCTGGAGAGGATGCGGAGAAATAGGAACACTTTTACACTGTTGGTGGGACTGTAAACTAGTTCAACCATTGTGGAAGTCAGTGTGGCGATTCCTCAGGGATCTAGAACTAGAAATACCATTTGACCCAGCCATCCCATTACTGGGTATATACCCAAATGAGTATAAATCATGCTGCTATAAAGACACATGCACACGTATGTTTATTGCGGCACTATTCACAATAGCAAAGACTTGGAACCAACCCAAATGTCCAACAATGATAGACTGGATTAAGAAAATGTGGCACATATACACCATGGAATACTATGCAGCCATAAAAAATGATGAGTTCATATCCTTTGTAGGGACATGGATGAAATTGGAAACCATCATTCTCAGTAAACTATCGCAAGAACAAAAAACCAAACACCGCATATTCTCACTCATAGGTGGGAATTGAACAATGAGATCACATGGACACAGGAAGGGGAATATCACACTCTGGGGACTGTGGTGGGTTCGGGGGAGGGGGGAGGGATAGCATTGGGAGATATACCTAATGCTAGATGACACATTAGTGGGTGCAGCGCACCAGCATGGCACATGTATACATATGTAACTAACCTGCACAATGTGCACATGTACCCTAAAACTTAGAGTATAATAAAAAAAAAAAAAAAAAAAAAGAAGGCAATTTGGCAGTTTCTTATAAATTCAACATTATCTTACCATATGACCCAACATTCCCATGCTCCTATGTATTTATGCAAGGTAATTGAAAACTTAAGTCTACAAAAAAAACTGAAAATAAAACCTATTAGTAGTATTTTTATTCTTTATTACCAAAAACTGGAAGCAACCAGGATATCCTTTAGTAGGTGAGTGAAATTGGAGGTATTGAATGCTATTCAATAATAAATAGGAATGAACTATCTATGAAATGGACTGCCACTGAGTAATAAAAAAGAATAAACTATCAATCCACATAAAAATCACTGAATCTTAAATGCATATTTCTAAGTAAAAAAAGACAGCCTGAAAATTCTACATTCTCTATGATTTCATTCATGTCATTCTGGAAAAGGCAAAACTATAGAAAGTGAAAACAAATTAGTTGTTATCAAGCATTTGAGGAAGAGAAAATGTAATATAGGAGATTTTTTAAAGTAGGAGGATGAATCTTTGTGAAATAGTGAAGGTATATACATTATAATATGTATTTGTCAAAACCTATGGACTTTTATAGCACCATATTGTGAAACTTAATATAGGTAAATTCTTGAAAAAATCAATTAGGAGTTCAGGAGTTACTAAGATTGAATGTGGACTTCAACAAAAGTATCTACATATATATAATACAACTGTATGAGACAAGCTCTGTGAAGGACATGGAGGAAAACAGGTGCTGAGCTAAGTAACTTTGAAAGTCAATAAAAACTAAAAATTAAAAATAAAAGAAACTGTACATAAGCAGTGTAGTCTAGGTTGTAAAGTTGTTTCTCACAGATGTATGGATTAACAACTCTGAAACCAATATATATTTATACTATAATTTAACATGCAAGCAAATGTCTGGACGATGGTAGACATGCCATTTATTGCTGTTGGACTAAGAGTTTACATATAAGCAAGGTTGGTGGCTAGAATGATATATGTGCTAATGGTTTAGAGTTGGAGACATTATGTTTAGCGTAATAGAGATACAGATAATTACACATATTTATAGATACATTTATAGACACAAGTATGTTCATATACTTATATGTAAATATTTCCTTCTGTGTCAACTGAGAGGTCCTAGAAGCAACTGCACACCAATATTAACTACCACATCCAGCACACGGATATTGGTTTTTAATACTAAAAGAAATTGAAGATAGAAAATCAGAAAGATGGTGGAACTGGATGTCTCAGGCTCCCTTTCTCACGAAGAAAGTTCAACTGCTGACTAACCACACACCATAACATCCTTTAAAAAACCCCAATACTTGGAAACAAACCTAAGATAACCACATTGTTCACAGAAATGAGTGAATTCCAAATTAGACCATGTCACCCATCCTTCTCCCTCAAGTTGGAATAAAACCAAATGGAGAGAATTTTTGTGGGTGCTTAGTATCTACGGGAGGAAATGAAAACTGAAGACAGTTATCTAGTTTCCCTAACACTCCAAGACACTTCCCAGAAATCCCAATCTAATCTCATTTTGGTAAATACTCTAGGAGAAGCAGCACTAAAGGAAACACTAGAAAAAAATGGCATCACTAAGCTGCCTGGAATAAGGCAGAAACACAGAAAGAGGGCACAGGTCATAGTGATCTATGCATGGATCTTGATGGTACATCTGTATTTTTGTTAGCTATAATGCCTGATGGCAGGTACCAACTAACCTCGAAGTTCACCTGCAAAACTGAACTGGTCACCTTCAGAAGCGCAGTGAGAAATTTGACCAAGCTTGAGTACTTAGACTGCTAGTCTACACACCCAGCCTGAGGACTCACCCCAATGACCACTCAAGCATGAAGACACCCACCTCTTACCATTATTAAGAAGTGTAAGTGCTAGACCTGTTTGATCCAGGAAGTCAAGCAGTGGCTTCACCCAGCAAAAAAAAGTCCTCCCAACAACTCTGTCCAGGCAGGGAAACAGAAGAAAAGGATATAGACTGGCTTGACCTGGGATGTCAAGCAGCTACAATCAGCCAAAGAGTCACCCAACAATTTCACCCAGATAGGGATATTTTCATCTATGTTCATTTTGGAGATTCACAGAGACTAGACATGCTTTACCCAGGAAGGTAAACAGCAACTCAACTCAGCTAAAAGTCTACACCATAGCTCCATCCTGACAGGAATGTAATTCTCAATTGTGCATTTTTAAGGAGCATAGCCCCTGGCCTTACCTTTGCTGAGCAGCAACCTCTGCTTAACCTTACAGCCCAGCCTGCAGTACTGCCCAACTACAAATCACAAATAGCCAAATGGCCCAGCTGGGGAAGGTTTCCTGTGAATGGTGTTACAAGAAGCCATTGAAGTACCCACCCAGCAGCTCTATATGATAGCCTAGCCCAGCCCACCCAGTGGTCTCAGCAGACAGCAGAGCCCAGCTATCAACTCTACCAAACATCAGAGCAATGACAGAGGCCCAGCCAACTAAAACATTCACAGCAAGTTCTGCCTGCCTGGGGTTGTCACTAACTGGTCCTTCCAGAATCACAACTAGTTTAAACAGTAAAGGTTTATCCTTTCAAAAAGAATACCTGTAAGGCCAGAATATATATATGACTCCTTATATATTTAAACAATAATGAAAGAACACAGGACTTAGGAAGAATCAGGGAATCATGACATCTCCAAAAGAAACTAATAAAGTTCCAGTAATGGAACTCAAATAAATTAACATCTATAACATGAATGACAAGGAAATTAGAATAATAAAAATAAAGAGGTCCAGTAAGCTGCAAGAATACATAGACAGATAATTTTATTAAATTTGAAAAAGTACACAAAGCGAGAAGTATGATAAAGAAGAATGATAAAAAGATACAATTTTCAGAGATAAAGAATAAAATTACTGAACTAAAAAATTCAATAGAAATATTTGACATCAATCATGATCAAGCAGAAGACTCAGTGAGTTGGAAGACAGAACATTTGAAATTATCCTATAATAGGAGCAAAAAGACAAAACAATAAAAAAAAAAAGAAAGCCAATGGGAATTGTGAGAGACCATCGAGAGACCAAACCTTCAAAGATAAGGGTGGCAGTAGGAGAAGAAAGAGAAAAAAGAGCAGAAAGCATATTTTAAAAAAATAACGGCTGAAAACTTTCCTAATGTGGGGAAATATTCTAATATCCAGGTACAGGAAGCACAGAGATCTCCAATCAAATTCAACCCAAAGAGCAATTCACCAAAACACGTAATACTAAAACTATCAAAAGCCAAAGACATGTCTGGGTATGATGGCTCATGCCTGTTATTCCAGCACTTTGGGAGGCCAGAGTGAGAGGATTTCTTGAGGTCAAGAGTTGGAGACCAATCTAGACAACAAAGTGAGACTTCATCTCTACAAAAATTAAAAAATGGCTAAGCACAGTGGTATGTACCTGTAGTCCCAGCTACTTGGGTTAGGCTGAGGTGAGAGAATCACTTGAACCTGGGCCATTGAGGTTGCAATGACCCATGAGTGCAACACTGCACTCCAGACTGGGAGACAGAGTGAGACCCTTTCTCAAAAAAAAAAAAAAAAAAAAAAAAAAAAGAAAGAAAGAAAGAAAAAGAAAAAAGAAAAAAAAACTTAGAGAAGCAAGAGATAAGAAATATGTATCATACAAAATTTTTCAATATGATTATCAATGGATTTTTCAGAAGAAATTTATATACGAGGAGAGAGTGGGATTATGTACTAAAAGTAATTAAAGAAAGAAAAAAAATACAACAAAGAATGCTTTATTGAGCAAAGCTGTCTTTCAGAACAAAAACTTTCCCAGACAAAAATAAAACTAAGGGAGTTTATCACCTCTATACCTGCCTTACAAGAATTCCTAAAGGAAATTCTTTAAACTGAAACAAAAAACCTGATAATAACAGAAAAGTCATGACAGCACAAATCTCAGTGGCATAAGTAAAGCAGAGCCTTATTCATAATATTCCAGGACTGAAACAATAATATATTCCTAGTAAGAGGATTAAAAAAACTATTAATAATATCTTAAGCCAAAATAATTGTTAACAAATATAAAATGATGTAGATTCTGACATCAAAACATAAAATGTGTGTAAATAAAAGTGTAGATTTGTTGTTTGTAATCAAAGTTAAATTGTTATCAGCATTAAATTAGCTATTGTCATTATAAGATACTCTGTTAACTTCATAATAACCACAAAGCAAATCTCTTTAGTAGGAACTACCAAACAAATACAGAAATGATTCAAAGCATAGCAGTGCAGAAAACCATCAAAGCATAAAGAAAGAATAAAAATACGAAGAAAAAATATCTACAAAACAACCAGAAAACAATTAACAAAATGGGAGCAGTAAGTTGTTATCCATCATTAATTAACTTGAATATACATGAATTAAATTCATGTATAATGGATAATTCAAAAGAATGGAAAAAGATATTCCACTTATATTGAAATCAAGAGAGGAGAGGTAACTACGCTAATATCAAAAAAAAACTTTAAGTCAAAAATTATTTTAAAAAATGCAAAGAAGGGCATTATATAATAATAAAGGAGTAAACTCTTCAAGAGGCTGTGTATTAGTTGATTTTCACACTTCTATGAAGAAATATCTGAGACTGGGTGATTTATAGAGAAAACAGGTTTAATAGGCTCTTCGTTCTGAAGGCTACACAGGAAGCATAGTGGCTTCTGCTTCTGGGGAAGGCTCAGGAAGCTTCCAATCATGGCAAAAGGCAAAGGGGGAGTGAGACATCTCACATGGTGGAAGCAGGAGAATAAGACAAAAAGGGGAGACAGTCCTACACACTTTTAAACAACCAGATTTCATGAGCAGTCACTCATGATTATAAGAACAGTACCAAGGGGGTGGTGCTAAACCATTCATGAGAAAGCTGACCCCATAATCCAATCACCTCCCACCAGGCCTCACCTCCAAAATCAGAGATTGTAATTTGACAGATTTGGAGGGGACACAGATCCAAGGCATATTATTCTACTCCTAGCCTCCAAAATCTCATGTCCTTCTTACATTGCAAAATGCAATCATGCCTCCCAAACAGTTCCCAAACTCTTTTTTTTTTCTTTTGTTTGAGATGAAGTTTCACTCTTGTTGCCTAGGCTGGAGTGCAATGGTGCAAACTTGGCTCACCACAACCTCTGCCTCCCGGGTTCAAGCGATTCTCCTGCCTCAGCCTCCCAAGTAGCTGGGATTACAGGCATGCACAACCACACCTGACTAATTGTGTATTTTTTTAGTAGAGATGGGGTATCTCCACGTCAGTCAGGCTGGTCTTGAACTACCAACCTCAGATGATCCACCTACCTCAGCCTCCCAAAGGGCTGGGATTACAGGCGTAAACCACCACACCTGGCCCAGTTCCCCAAACTCTTAATTTATTACAGCATTAACTCAAAATGCCAAAGTCCTGAGTCTCATCAGAGACAAAGCTAGTCTTTTCTTCCTTTGAGCCTGTAGAATAAAAAACAAAGTAGTTGCACCCAAGATACAATGGGGATAGAGGCATTTGGGTAAATAATCTTATTCAAAAAGGAAGAAATTGGCCAGAAGAAAGGGACTGCAGGCCCCATGCAAGTTTGAAACCCAGCAGGGCAGTCATTAAATCTTAAAGCTTTGACTTTATGTCCCACATCTAGGGCACTGTAGTGTGAAGGGTAGGCTCCCAAGGTCTTGGGCAGCTCCGCCCTTGTGGCTTTGCAGGATTTAGCCCCTGTAGCGACTCTCATGGGATGGCATTGACTCTCTGCAGCTTTCACAAGTACAGGGTGCAAGATGCTTGTAAATCTACCATTCTGAGGTCTGGAGGATGGTGGCCTTCTTCTCACAGCTCTACTAGGCATTACCCCAGTGGGGACTCTGTGGGGGCTCCAACTCAATATTTTTTTTCTCCACATTGCTCTAGTAGAGCTTCTCCATTAGGGCTCCACCCCTTCAGCAGAGGCTGAACATCCTGGCATTTCCATACATCTTCTGAAATCTCTACAGAGGCTCCCAAGCCTCAACTCTTCCACTCTGTGCGCTTACAGGCTTAAAATCACAGGAGGTGCTAAGGCTTATGACTTACATTCTCTGAAGCAGTGGCCCAAGGTCTACCTGGGTCCCTTTGAACCACAGCTGCAGCTGGAGCAGCTGGGATATAGGGAGCAATCTTCAGAGGCTGTGCAGAGCAACAGGCCTTGAGCCTGGCCGACAAATCCATTCAGTACTTTTAGGACTTCAGGCTTGTGAGGTGAGAGGCTGCTACAAAGGTCTCTAAAATGCCTTTGAGGCATTTTTCCCACTCTCTTGGCTATTAACAATTGGCTCATTTTACTTATTTCTGAAGCTTGACTGAATTTATCCCCTGCAAATGGGCTTTTCCTTTCTACCACATAGACAGGCTGCCAATTTTCTGAATTTTTATGCTCTGCTTCCTTTTTAAATATAAATTCCAACTTTAGGTCATTTCTTTTTTCATACATATGAGAAAAGATTGTTAGAAGCAGCCAGGCCACATCTTAAATGCTTTGCTGCTTAGAAATTTCTTCTGCTGGATACGCTAAATCAACATTCTCAAGTTCAAAGTTCCACAGATCCCTAGGGCATGGGTGCAGTGCAGCCAAATTCTTTGCTAAGACATAAAAAAAGTGACTGTTGGTTCAGTTCCCAATATGTTTCTCATTTTTATCTGAGACTTCATCAGCCTGAACTTCACTGTCCCTATCACTATGAGCATTTTAGTCACAGTCATTCACCCAGTCTCTAGAAAGTTCTAACTTGCCCTCATCTTCCTATCTTCTTCTGAGCCCTCCAAACTCTTCCAACTTCTACCTATTACCCAGTTCCAAAGTCATTTCCACATTTTCAGGTATCTTTACAGCAATGTCCAACTCATTGGTACCAATTTTCAGAATTAGTCCATTCTCACATTGCTATAAAGAAATACCTGAGACTGGGTAATTTATAGAGAAAAAGGTGTAATTGGCAAGCTGTTCTGCAGGCTGTACAGGAAGCATAACAGCTTCTGCTTCTGAGGAGGCCCCAGGGAGCATCTAATAATGGCAGAAGACAAAAGAAAAGTAAGATGTCTCACATGTTGGGAGCAGGAGCAAGAGAGAGAGAAAGAGAATGTGCTACACACTTTTAAATGACCAGATCTCACAAGTACTCACTCATGATTGTGAGTAGAGTACCAAGGGGATGGTGCTAAACCATTCATGAGAAAGCTGCCCCCATGATCAATCACCTCCCACCAGGCCCCTCCTCCAACATTAGGGATTGCTATTCGACATGAGATTTAGTTGGGACACAGATACAAACCATATCAAAATATAACTATTAATATATATGCACCCAATATTGGAGGAATTAAATATGTAAAACAAATGTTAAAGAAAATAAAGGGAGAAATAGATTGCAATACAATAGTAGTGACTTCAATATCTTACTTGCAACAATAAACAGATAATTCAGACAGAAAGTTAATACAACATTTGAATTGAACAACACTTTATAAAAAATGGACCTAACATACATATACAGAGCATTCTATCCAAAACTACAGAAAATATATTTTTCTCAGGCACACATAGAACATTCTCCAAGATAGAAAACATGGTAAAACACAAAGCAAACTTCTGGAAATTTAAGAAAACTAAAATTATATCATTTATATTATCTGATTGCAATGGTACAAAACTAAAAATCAGTATCTGAAATTTTGATTTAAAAATACTTGGAAATTAAACAAAATGCTTTTGAACAACCAATGGGTAAATGAAAAAATTAAAAGGGGAATTTAAAAAGTATCTTTAGATGGATGAAAATGAAAACACAACATATTAAACCTTATATGATACAGCAAAAGCTGTTTTAAGTAGAAAGTTGTCCAGGCATAGTAGCTCAAATTTGTAACCCCAGCCCTTTGGGAGGGTGAGGTGGGATGATTGCATGAGCCCAGGAGTCCAAGACCAGCTGGGGCAAAAGAGTGAGACCCTGTCTCTACAATAATAATAATAGTAATAATAATAATAAATTAGCTTGATGTTGTGGCTTAGGTCTGTAGTCTGAGCTACTTGGGGGCCTGAGGTAGGAGAATCATTTGATCCTGGGAAGTCGAGGCTTCCATGAGTCATGATCGTGCCACTCACTTCAGCCTGGGTGACAAAGTGAGACCGTACCTCAAAAATAAATAAATAATAAAATTTTATAGCAATAAACACTACATCAAAAAAGAAGAAATATATTTAAAAACCTAATGTTACACCTCAAGAAACTAAAAACAGAACAAACAAATTTCAAAGATAGCAGGAGGAAGAAAATAATAATGGTCATAGCAGAAATAAATGAAATAGAGGTTAGAAAAACTATACAAGAAATAAAATGAACAGTTTTCTTGAAAAGATAAAAAATTGACAAAACTTTAACTAAGCTAAGAAATAAAAAAGTTTCAAGTAAATAAAATCACAAATGCAAAGGGAGACATTACAACTGATATCACAGAAATACAAAGCATTTTAAGAGACTACTATGAACAATTGTATGTCAACAAATTGGATAACCTAGAAGAAATAGATAAATTCCTGGACAGTTGAAACTTAGCAAGACTGTATCAAGAAGAAATAGAAAAACTAAACAGATCATTAGTGAGTAAGGAGATTGAAGCAGTAGCTAAAAGTCTCCCATGAAAGAGCAACTTAGGACCTGGTGGCTTCATTGCTAAATTTTAGCAAACATCTAATAAAGAATTAATACCAGTCCTTCTCAAACTGTTCCAAAAAATCAAAGAGGATGGAATATTTTCATACTGTTTTTATCAAGCTAGCGTTACCCTGATACCAAAGCCAAACATGGACATTATAAAAAAAGAAAATTACATATAGCCAAATTCAACAACACTTTAAAAAAATCCTTCATCATTATCAAGTGGGATTTGTCTCTGGAATGCAGAGATGCTTCAACATACACAAATAAATAAATATATCATATTAACAGAATGAAGGACAAAAACATAACATTTCATTATATGTAAAAATCATTTGACAACATTAAACATCATTACATAATAACATCTCTTACCAAATTAGGTATAGAAGAAATTTATCTCAACACAATAAATACAATGTATGAGAAGCCCACAGCTAACATTATATTCAATGGTGAAAAACTGAAAGGCTTTCCTTTGAGACCTGGAACAACACAAGGATTTCCAATCCTGCCACTTCTATTCATCATAGTATTGGAAAACTACGCCAGAGCAGTTAGGTAAACTAAAGAAATATAAAGACTC